>NC_000012.12:70490431-70641946 GCF_000001405.40 Homo sapiens | reverse complement strand
CAGGATGTTTAGTCTAAAGAAGAAAAGATTATAGGACTTTGATGGCTGTTTTCCAGCCTTTGGAGAGCTGTTGTGTGACTACAGGGGAGCCTTAAGACGTCTTTTGGGTTATTTCAGTTGGACCAATGCGGTGAAAGTTAGAAAGGACAGATTCATGTTGATGTCTTAAAAGTTTTCCTGCCAACCTTGGAAAAGGCTGCCTCTAAAATTGCAAGATTTCTAAAAAAGCTATATTGTCAGTGACTAGAATGGATGATCTCTAAGAATTCCTCTGATGCCAGTTTTTTTCATTTTTATTTTCCAAATTAAGTGGGAGGTAAGAGAACTTTTCATATACTTTCCTGAAGCCTTCAGACCTGCAAGAATTTTGCCAGCCCACAATTAATGAGTATGCTTCTCCATCTTCCCCACTTTCACTGGCTAAAACAACCTTGATTTAGTGAACAGAATGTCATAGTAAATATACTCCAACCATTAAATTACACCACTGACCCACTTAGGGTGAAACAGTTATTAAATTCTAAACTGTGTCTCCATTCATTCACCAGTTGGACATGTAAATACCAGTGCTGACCAGAACATACAAGAAGGGGAAAATCTTGCCTCAAAGTGAGGTAAATGGTGAGAGGAAGCTGACAGACCAGAGCCTAAGAGGTGGAGCACATAGAAGCTTCCACATACTGTCTGCAGCTCAAGAGGGAGTAATGGTGCCCTGAGCTGTGCAAATGCCAGAGGAAGGGAGGCACCTCTCAGCTCCCTGGAGCTACCCTAATATTTACTGTGGTGGTGTCTCCCAAGCTTCACAGTTCAAGCCAGCATCTTCGGAACACCTGCTATGATTTTAGATGAGCCCAGATGTCATCACACAGCTAAGAAGATAAACCATTACCACATTCTCAGCTGGCCATTTCTGTTGTTCACTTCTGACCAAGGAATACTTAGCCCAGAAGGTTGCCTTCAATGCAACAAAATGTACAGCTCTAGGGGAGGAAGACCAATTAAATACTTCTGTCAATAAGTTGCTGTCACCAAAAACTGTGAATTTACCTCTTTATTTTTTGCCAATTACATCATTTTGACATCATGTTAATTTTCCTGGGGAATCACTGTTTAGTTTAAAACAAGGAAGTTTTACTGCTCTAATATTGACATAGATTGACAAATAAACATAGAAGCCCAGTTTTTATTATTACCATTAACTAGAAGTCTTGTTACAGTGAGACAAGATATCTTGTTTTTAAGTTGAAGTGCCTAAATAATCTGAAAGTTATTTTGAATGATACTAACAACCACTTGGAAAAATCTGGTTAAAACATAGAGTTAAACTAAAAGATAAGATCAGTTGCATGATTGCAGAGTTACAGAGAATTTACAAGACTTTAAATAGTTACCGATAGTGATGCTTTTATACAGTGAGCAGGAATAGTAACATATTAATGTCTGGTAACTTTGTCAAGCTAAAAAATCATAATTATAGGACTGGACACCGTCGTTCAAGCCTGTGATTCCATCACTTTGGGAGCCCAAGACAAGAGGATCACTTGAGTCCAGGAGACCAGCCTGGGCAACATAGTGAGGCCTTGTCTCTACAAGAAAAAAAAAATTTAAAAATTGTCCAGGTGTGGTGGTGCCTGTGGTCCCAGCTACACCAGAGGCTGAGGTGGGAGAATTGCTTGATCCCAGGAAGTTGAGGCTGCACTGAGCTGTGATCATGCCACTGCACAACAGCCTAAGCAATTAAGGAGACGTTTTCTCAAAAACTAAAATTAAAAAAGGATCATAATTATGAAGGGGGAAAATGTGATATAGGTATTATGTATATAAAAACATAATGAGAAGCACCGTTATTTCTCATGAAGGCAAGTGCTTTCTATGAATCCATTGACAAGGAGGGTGCTGGGCAGCTAGTGATGATAATGGTGATAACCAAGAGGAAAATGTCACAGCAGAGCCAATTCCCTTTTTCCAACTCATTTAAGGACCCACCCACTATTGTGTTTAGACACCCCGTACACCAAAAGGCTAAGGTTGCTTCTGTACAACATATTCAAATAAACCATTCCAAGGTAGACTTCATTTTACTTGTAGAAAGCAACATTTTGCAGATGAGTTTTGTTTGGTTTGTCTCCGTCAATCAATTTTAAGCCAAATGTATAAACCATTTTAACAAGAGATGAATCATGAGGCACCTGAGAAGTAATACAAATATACCAGCTACAATGAATTTATTTAACCTTCACAGCAGTAGTTACTGTTACTATCCTGCTTTAACAGAGGAAGAAACTAAAGTGCAAGGGGTTTCGAGGAATTTGTCCAAGATGCATACAGCTAAGAATTGGCAGAGGAGGGATTTGAACTCACCTTGGCTGATGCCAAATCCAAGTACTTGATCATTAGGCTGTACCACCTCCCCAGTAATGTTACACAGGTAAAAATTAATCACGTGCCTAGTGTGTGCTGGGAACTGTGTTAAGCCCTTTATATACATTACCATGTTAACTTTGATAGTTGAGACATTTGGACACAGGTAAGAGGGATAACAAAAGAACCACTAGGTCGACTGTTCTATGTGTCTTTGGCATAATACCCTAGCTTGGATGAAATCTCTGTGTTACTTGAAATTGCAAGATTTTAGCAAAATCAGTTATTTTATGATTTCTTCCTTGCAGAGGTGGAATGGTGCAAACCAGTGAGCAGTATGAATTTGTGCACCATGCTCTGTGCCTGTATGAGAGCAGACTTTCAGCAGAGACTGTCCAGTGAGTCATTGAAGACTTGTCAGACCATCAATCTCTTGGGGTGATTAATCAAATTACCCACCCAAGGCTTCTAGAAGGAGCTTCCTGCAATGGAAGGAAGGAGAAGCTCTGAAGCCCATGTATGGCATGGATTGTGGAAGACTGGGCAACATATTTAAGATTTCCAGCTCCTTGTGTATATGAATGCATTTGTAAGCATCCCCCAAATTATTCTGAAGGTTTTTTGATGATGGAGGTATGATAGGTTTATCACACAGCCTAAGGCAGATTTTGTTTTGTCTGTACTGACTCTATCTGCCACACAGAATGTATGTATGTAATATTCAGTAATAAATGTCATCAGGTGATGACTGGATGAGCTGCTGAAGACATTCGTATTATGTGTTAGATGCTTTAATGTTTGCAAAATCTGTCTTGTGAATGGACTGTCAGCTGTTAAACTGTTCCTGTTTTGAAGTGCTATTACCTTTCTCAGTTACCAGAATCTTGCTGCTAAAGTTGCAAGTGATTGATAATGGATTTTTAACAGAGAAGTCTTTGTTTTTGAAAAACAAAAATCAAAAACAGTAACTATTTTATATGGAAATGTGTCTTGATAATATTACCTATTAAATGTGTATTTATAGTCCCTCCTATCAAACAATTACAGAGCACAATGATTGTCATTGGGTATATATGTATTTACTCTCTATTATTGGGCATAAAGGTGGCTTCTGCTCCAGAACTCTATCCACTGTATTTCCACATCGTGAGTCATTTTACTTTAAAAGGGAAAAACAAATTTGTAGCAACTCTGAAGTATCAAGAGTTTTAACTACTTGTCTCTCTTTTGCTAAGAAGGGATTTTTGAATATGCTATCTACCTGGAATCTCTCTCTCAACAAAAGGTATATGCCTTCAGGAATGATATAATCTGTCCCATTTTCGAGGCTCCTTATAAGGACATTTCCATGTATGTCCTTACATTTCTGAAAGCTTTCAATCTTCAAGAGACAAAAAAAATTAAAATAACTACCCTCAGCAAACACTAGCTGTTCTGCTCATATATGAATTTTTAATGCAGCAATGTTGACTTTGTTTCATACTGCCAATAAACTCTTAATACTAAATACTGAGTAAAGCATATTCTTTTTTTTTTTTCTATTTGGAAAGACGCCATCCTCTGTTTGGGGAAGACCAAAGTAGATAATGTGATGGGTTTAATTTTAGTGTCTGCATCTCCCCAGTGAAGATGACGATCTCAAAATGTAATATTGTCATCACTTGGGAGATAATGATCTAGAAGTGCCATCATTATGTGGTTTTCCTCAATAGACTCGCAGCATATCATTATACAAACAGTACATGTTTATGTCTTTATATCACTTGTCATAGACCCTCATCAATTACATGGCTTATGTTTATTCAGCAGAATCACATCACCTGAAGAGATGTAATGTTTCAGGAACATTCAATTATCTGAGATTTCAATTCCTTTCTTTCTTCTTGAGGTTAAGAAGCAGTCACATGCCAAAGGAAAGGTAGGTGAGGTCTTAACGAGATTTACTCTGCTCTTGAAGGCTGGAATATTTTCTACATTAAAAAAAAGAGGTAATCATAATCCCTTCTTTCTAAGGAAACAGACAAAAGGACACTGGTGTAAAACTTCCCCAAACAATTCAATAGGAGGAAGTGCTCGTCACTGACTTTTCCCCCCACCATGAAGGCACATTTCCTTCCTAGTCTTTGCTTCTCTTATCTGGGAGAATTTTTTTTTTCCCCAAGCGAAGCATGAACAGTTGCTAAGTGGAAAATGGAGGCTGAATTTTACATGGTGATTCTTACCTGCTTGATCTTCAGGAACTCAGGTGAGTGGGTCTGCCTCAGTGTCCTGAGGCATTTCTTCAAGATCTAGCCAAGGAGTCCCTGGTCTTTGAAGTGTCTGAAATAAGGTAGAAGGGGCCAGGTCTCCATGGCAGTTTAGCCAAAGACGATGAAAAGCAGGAATAAAAGGAGCCAGCTATGCCCATACTGTTGAGATTTCTCTCCAAAAGAAAATAAATGCTCTCCTCTCATCCTCCAAATGCTTCAGGCAGCCCCTGAAATGATACATTTAGAGCAGAGCGTAAAGAACCCCGAGGAAAAGTTTGTATTATTATATAACAGTCTGTGGCTTTCCCCAAGCCTTTTTCCGACCCGGTTATAGTTTTATTTTCTTTTGTGTTGAAGAAAGAAAATTGAAGGAATATGATTAAAGGGGGTGAGGAAATGTAGTGTGTTTTATTTGGAAGTTGTCATTTGGGAGGGCTGAACATTTTCATGAGCGAGCTGGGCAATTTAAGTAAAACCTCATTGAAAATGGTTTCTGAGCCAGAGTATCTTGCTCTTTAATACTGATGTTTAGCAATTTGATGTTTAATTTTCTTACACTGGCACATGATGATTTTTAGAAAATCTATTCGTATTTGAGAGAAAACTGTAGATATTGTCATAAAATAGAGAAATGCTCCTCTCCACGACTAAAGGAAATTTAGTTTGTGATAATCAATACTTTCATTGGCTGCAATTAGCTAGGAGGTTGTGCTTGGAGAAGTGGGAAAATTTGTTTTATTTTTTGATAAATGTATGCAATTTTAAAAAATTGTTATTCAAACTATGAAATTTGTATATAAATACTGCAATGTGAATTTAAAGACTGGAAAAGGGGGTGCTTTTTTAAGGTAAGGGAGGAAGCTTATATCGAATATGTCAAATGGTTAAAAAGGGAGCTGAGCATTTCATAACTTCAGCATATCTAACTAATTGGGCTAAAATATACTATATACTTTGGATGGTTTTGTTTCTTTCCAAGCTTCCTTTCATTTTCCAATAAGAGGTGTGCTTTTTTCCCCTAAAGCATGTGAAAATTAAAAAAAAAAAAAAGATGGGGAGTTAAGTGTAACATATTGACATTTTATATCGTCAGCTTTGGAATTTTAAATCACATGTGTTAAATATGAGAATGTTCACTTGAAATGATAGAAATAACAAAATATAAGTAAAACTAGTGATTTTATTTAGCTCATTTGTGGGTGGGTTCTTCCGTTTTCTAATGGGCCTCATAATTTGCTACATAGTGCTTTATGAGCTTTTCATCTTCCAGAAGGGTTTCAGATTGTCCATGTCCAGAAACAACAGTGTCTTTTCAAAAATGAGAAAGTGGTCGTGGGCTCATGCAACAGGACCATCCAGAACCAGCAGTGGATGTGGACTGAGGATGAAAAGCTCCTTCATGTTAAATCTGCACTGTGCTTGGCCATCTCCAACTCTTCCCGCGGCCCCTCCCGCTCAGCCATCTTGGACCGCTGTTCCCAGGCACCCCGATGGACCTGCTATGATCAGGAAGGCTTCCTTGAGGTGGAAAATGCCTCTCTCTTTCTCCAGAAACAAGGCTCCAGAGTAGTGGTCAAGAAGGCCAGGAAATACCTCCATAGCTGGATGAAAATAGATGTCAACAAGGAGGGAAAACTGGTCAATGAAAGCCTCTGTTTACAAAAAGGTGAGCTATTCCTTTCAGAGCAAATCCTGAAAGTCTTTCTACTAAATATCTTGGGGGTTTTGTTTGTTTGTTTGTTTGTTTGTTTTACATTTAAGGGAAGTCCACATGCCCCAACATATTTCCTATGGAAGATTCATAAGCTAATGGAGGTGGATGGTGACGTGCCCAATGATGGAAAACTTCATGACCCTCATTAAAATAAGCCCAACTTTTTCTATTGCTTTTTCTTCCTTCCCTTCTTGTCTTGCTTCTTTTATTAATTCAACAACTATTTCATGAGCCTCTCTTCTCTGCCAGTTAAGCACTGTTAGATGTAGGAATATGGATGTAGGCATATACACAGCCTATATATGTAATGACTAAAGTCAGTAATCGGAAAATTATTAGATTTTATTGACAGACACTTCTATTTGCTAATTATAATAAATTATTAGAACATCAGAATGGTGCTTGATAAGACTGGAAGATAGTTGTGTTTTTGCAAATCTCTTGTATTGCTGTTTAGGGGTAGATATCTTTTGGAGGTAACACACTTTTGAAATGTTAAGAATCAATGGGCAGCCACAGATTTTTCTAATTTATTGACCATTAATGGATATAACCCAGATAATGGACACATGTAGAAAATATGTTATACACATGTGCAAGCTCCTGGTGCAGGACACAGTTCAGTCCTGAGCTAGGAATTTTTGCTTGTGGAATATATAGGCAGTTTAATCTTCTCTTGAAGTTAATCATGCAATTGTGTATTTACTCTTCTATTAGAGGTTTGCTTTAGAAAGTCATGAAAGATAAAACTGATGAATCACAATATATTAGGCACCAATGAACCTTACAAAGCATGGGAAAAGTTATCAAGAAACGAAGCGCCTCACTAAGAAGACAAATTTTTCAGGGTTAAGTAAATTGTCCCAGATAAATTAGCAGCAGATCTATGATTAGAGCCTAAGTTTTTTGACTCTTTGTTCAGTGTACATTTTACTATACCAGAGGTTCCCAAATGCTTGACCACAGACTTGCCCCATGGCTTGCCTAAGAATCACCTGGGGTAGAAAAGGGAGGGCTTACTAAAAATACACATTCCCGTAGCTAATGCATCCTGGGCTTAATTCCTAGGTGATGGGTTGATAGGTGCAACAAAGCACCACGGCACACGTTTACCTATGTAACAAATCTGCACACCCTGCACATGTACCCCAAAACTAAAAATAAAAATTTAAAAAAAAATACACATTCCCAGGATTCTTTCCCACCATTTTTTCCTCTACAACCACCTCCAAGATTCTGTTTCAGGAAATCTGGATTTGTGCATAATACTTGATATTTATTAATCACCAGAAAATTTTGATCCATAATCCAATATGGAGATCAGCATCCACTGTATTGTTAAGTCTTTTCCTTAGGTGTTGATTTGTGAGGCTTATATTAGTCTTTCCACCATGGTAATCTTTGGACAATTTTTTCTCACTCATTCATTCTGTAAGTTAAAACAAGCATTTAACTAGATGCCATTTGAATGTGTTATGCTTTTCTACAATAAGTGGTATGCTTTGCTACAATAAAAGTTGAGAGTTATAGTTTCTGTTCTTATATCATTTCTGCCTATGAGAAAAAAACCTACTCAAAAATTCAACTTTATCAGAAAATATTCAGCATATAGCACCAATTTGTACAATACCTTTCCTGTGGTTCATCTATCAAGGCCTCTCCTAAATAATATAGAAACATTATAACTGTTCCATTTTTACTGTTTTACACAAGAAGTGAGATTCATCCCCAAACCCCAATCAAACCTTATTTAACATAAGATTACTTAGTTGGAACTTTAAAAAAAAGTAGATATGGACTCAGTGGTGAGTTATTCAAGATAAAAGATAATTCATAGAAAAACTACCTCCTATGACCCTCATACAAATATGTCTAGTAATAGACTTCGAAAATAAGGTAACTAGAATAAGCCATTTGCAATTAACCACTGAACAATGCTATATTCAAAAAATGCCTGATAATATGTGTTGGGGAAAGAAATTAATTTCTAGAAAAAGCAGAAGTTAAAATTTGCACAATTGTGGTACAAAAACACCCTTATATTTGAGTACACATAAGTATAACACATACTTTTGCTTTAACACAATTATAAGCTAACAGATATATTTTTCTGCTCCATCTTAAATATGCCATTGTGGGGTTTTTTCTTTTTGTTTTTGTTTTTTCTTTGGTTTTTGTTTTTAGAAACAAAGTCTTGCTCTGTTGCCCAGGCAGGAGAGCCATGGTGTGATCATAGCTCAATGTAGCCTCCAACTCCTGGGCTCAAGTGATCCTCCCACCTCAGCCTCCCAAAGTACTGGGATTACAGGCATGAATCACCATGCCCAGCCCTGATAAAAGTTTAAGAATAATACTTGTAGACCTATATCATGAGAGCTCACTGACTTGCTAGAGTAGCTACTGTGAAAAATTAACCGAAATGCATTCATATGTTTGCAATGAGTGATTTCAAATCATTGTTTAAGTTGGTAACTAAGTATTATAATCTACAGCAGCACAAATACATGTGTTGTTCATCTATGGGATGTGAATTTTTTTGTGTGTTCTTCCATGAAAGAAAGCAGACCTATGAAGGTAAAAATCTAAGCCACATGTTTCATATTTGTTTCATAAAAGACACATTAATGATTGTATTCAAGTTTCCAGGTAATATTTATTTAACACCTACTATGTGCCAGAGCTTGTGCTAGCACTCAGGTACCCTGTGCTAGTACTAAGGTGCCCTCCACAAGTGATTTTTGACCCAAGCTGCATATTAGACTCACATGGCAGCTTTTAACTAATACTAGAGTATAAAACCTGAGCTTTATCCTCTAAGCTGACTAAATGAGGTATTGTATTTTTAAAGTACTTCCTAGGTGATTCTGATGTGCAGCCAAGGTTGCAAATCATTAAATACATCTTATTCCTTAAAGTAATGGGGAAATCAGATAAGTAAATAAATAGGTAATTACAATAGAATGTAGAGAGAAGAAAGTACTTTCCTTTCCAATATATGTCCTTGCCAGTATGTCACATTAAGCACTCATTCCTTTTTTTTTTTTAATTATACTTTAAGTTCTAGGGTGCATGTGCACAATGTGCAGGTTTGTTACATAGGTATACGTGTGCCATGTTGGTTTGCTGCACTCATCAACTCGTCATTTACACTAGGCATTTCTCCCAGTGCTATCCTTCCCCCAGTCCCCCACCCCCCGACAGGACCCAGTGTGTGATGTCTCCTGCCCTGTGTCCAAGTGTTCTCGTTGTTCAATTTCCACCTATGAGTGGTACACGCGGTGTTTGGTTTTCTGTCCTTGTGATAGTTTGCTGAGAATGATGGTTTCCAGCTTCATCCATGTCCCTGCAAATGACATGAACTCATCATTTTTTATGGCTGCAATAGTATTCCATGGTGTATATGTGCCACATTTTCTTAATCTAGTCTACCATTGATGGACATTTGGGTTGGTTCCAAGTCTTTGCTATTGTGAATAGTGCCACAATAAATATACACGTGCATGTGTCTTTATAGTAGCTTGATTTATAATCCTTTGAGTATATACCCAGTAATGCAATCACTGGGTCAAATGGTATTTCTAGTTCTAGATCCTTGAAGAATCACCACACTGTCTTCCACAGTGGTTGAACTAGTTTACACTCCTACCAACAGTGTAAGTGTTCCAATTTCTCCACATCCTCTCCAGCATCTGTTGTTTCCTGACTTTTTAATGATTGCCATTCTAACTGGCAAGAGATGGTATCTCATTGTGGTTTTGATTTGCATTTCTCTGATGACCAGTGATGATAAGCATTTTTTCATGTGTCTGTTGGCTGCATAAATGTCTTCTTTTTAGAAGTGTCTGTTCATATCCTTTGCCCACTTTTTGATGGGGTTGTTTGTTTTTTTCTTGTAAATTTGTTTAAGTTCTTTGTAGATTCTGGATATTAGCCCTTTGTCATATGGGTAGATTGCAAAAATTTTCTCCCATTCTGTAGGTTGCCTGTTCACTCTGATGGTAGTTTCTTCTGCTGTGCAGAAGCTCTTTAGTTTAATTAGATCCCATTTGTCTATTTTGGCTTTTGTTGCCATTGCTTTTGGTGTTTTAGTCATGAGGTGTTTGCCCATGCCTATGTCCTGAATGGTATTGCCTAGGTTTTCTTCTAGGGTTTTTATGGTTTTAGGTCTAACATTTAAGTCTTTAATCCATCTTGAATTGATTTTTGTATAAGGTGTAAGGAAGGGATCCAGTTTCAGCTTTCTACATATGGCTAGCCAGTTTTCCCAGCTCCATTTATTAAATAGGGAATCCTTTCCCCATTGCTTGTTTTTGTCAGGTTTGTCAAAGATCAGATGGTTGTAGATGTGCGGTATTATTTCTGAGGGCTCTGTTCGGTTCCATTGGTCTATATCTCTGTTTTGGTACCAGTACCATGCTGTTTTGGTTACTGTAGCCTTGTAGTATGGTTTGAAGTCAGGTAGTGTGATGCCTCCAGCTTTGTTCTTTTTGCTTAGGATTGTCTTGGCTATGTGGGCTCTTTTTTGGTTCCATATGAACTTTAAAGTAGTTTTTTCCAATTCTGTGAAGAAAGTCATTGGTAGCTTGATGGGAATGGCATTGAATCTATAAATTACCTTGGGCAGTATGGCCATTTTCACGATATTGATTCTTCCTATCCATGAGCATGGAATGTTCTTCCATGTGTTTGTGTCCTCTTTTATTTCGTTGAGCAGTGGTTTGTAGTTCTCCTTGAAGAGGTCCTTCACATCCCTTGTAAGTTGGATTCCTAGGTATTTTATTCTCTTTGTAGCAATTGTGAATGGGAGTTCATTCATGACTTGGCTCTCTGTCTGTTATTGGTGTGTAGTAATGCTTGTGATTTTTGCACATTGATTTTGTATCCTGAGACTTTGCTGAAATTGCTTAACAGCTTAAGGAGATCCAAAATTTCAGCCCAAAGCTGAGACTATGGGATTTTCTAAATATACAATCATGTCATCTGCAAACAGGGACAATTTGATTTCCTCTTTTCCTAATCGAATACCCTTTATTTCTTTCTCTTGCCTGATTGCCCTGGCCAGAACTCCCAACACTATGTCGAATAGGAGTGGTGAGAGAGGGCATCCTTGTCTTATGCCGGTTTTCAAAGGGAATGCTTCCAGTTTTTGCCCATTCAGTATGATATTGGCTGTGGGTTTATCATAAATAGCTCTTATTATTTTGAGATCTGTTCCATCAATACCTAGTTTATTGAGAGTTTTTAGCGTGAAGGGCTGTTGGATTTTGTCAAAGGCTTTTTCTGCATCTATTGAGATAATCATGTGGTTTTTGTTGTTGGTTCTGTTTATGTGATGGATTACATTTATTGATTTGCATATGTTGAACCAGCCTTGCATCCCAGGGATGAAGCTGACTTGGTTGTGGTGGATAAGCTTTTTGATATGCTGCTGGATTCGGTTTGCCAGTATTTTATTGAGGATTTTTGCATTGATGTTCATCAGGGATATTGGTCTAAAATTCTCTTTTTTTGTTGTGTCTCTGCCAGGCTTTGGTATCAGGATGAGGATTCCCTCTTTTTCTGTTGATTGGAAAAGTTTCAGAAGGAATGGTACAAGCTCCTCTTTGTACCTCTGGTAGAATTCGGCTGTGAATCCATCTGGTCCTGGACTTTTTTTGGTTGGTAGGCTATTAATTATTGCCTCAATTTCAGAACCTGTTATTGGTCTATTCAGAGATTCCACTTCTTCCTGGTTTAGTCTTGGACACATTATGAGTCCAGGAATGTATCCATTTCTTCTAGATTTTCTGTTTTATTTGCATAGAGGTGTTTATAATATTCTCTGATGGTAGTTTGTATTTCTGTGGGATCGGTGGTGATATCCCTTTATCATTTTTTATTGCATCTATTTGATTCTTCTCTGTTTTCTTCTTTATTAGTCTTGTTAGCAGTCTTATGTAGTTTGTTGATGTTTTCAAAATAACAGCTCCTGGATTCACTGATATTTTGAAGGGTTTTTTGTGTCTCTATCTCTTTCAGTTCTGCTCTGATCTTAGTTATTTCTTACCTTCTGCTAGCTTTTGAATTTGTTTGCTGTTGTTTCTCTAGTTCTTTTAATTGTGATGTTAGGTTGTCAATTTTAGATCTTTCATGCTTTCTCTTGTGGGCATTTAGTGCTATAAATTTCCCTCTGTACGCTGCTTTAAATGTGTCCCAGAGATTCTGTACATTGTGTCTTTGTTCTCATTGGTTTCAAAGAACATCTTTATTTCTGCCTTCATTTTGTTATTTACCCAGTAGTCATTCAGGAGCAGCTTGTTTAGTTACCATGTAGTTGTGCGGTTTTGAGTGAATTTTTTAATGCTGAGTTTTAATTTGATTGCACTGTGGTCTGAGAGGCAGTTTGTTGTGATTTCTCTTCTTTTACATTTGCTGAGGAGTACGCAGTCATTCTTTAAAAAAATGTTTCAAGGGTAATTTTAAAGTTGCATATTTTTAAACAGTCTTTTGGGGGCACACAAGAGTTTATCATATTAATAGTTTAGCTAGCACCATTATTACTAACCACTTCTTCTTCCTGAATAAATTAATAAATGTTTCAACTTTGTGCAAAGTGTTTACTGTCAGAACAGTAAAGGAAAAAGGAATAATAAAGCTTTAAGGACTACTTTCAGGAATGCCATGAATAGTTAGTGTATGGCATCATAAATTATTGCTTTTGTCTTCTGTGCAATCCAAGTATAATTTTTAAACTCACCAAGCAATCAAATGTTACAGTTGACCAGGCACAGTGGCTCATGCCTATAACCCCAGCACTCTGGGAGGCCAAGGTGGGAGAATTGCTTGATGCCAGGAGTTCAAGACCAGCCTGGGCAACACAGCAAGACCCTATCTGTAAAAGAAAAAAAAGTTACAGTTGCATCTATTCCAGCAAGAAATAGCACTGGCCCCAAGCAGACAACAAAGCTTACAGTGACCCAGTTATTGAAGTTTTATGAATCTATCAGATGGGGAAAATTTCTCATGCCTTGGCCTGTACAGAAACAGGGAAATTTACTCAAAGGAAATTACTGGTTTGCTACTAGATCTAAGCAAATATTCCTTGCCAGGGGGAAATTAAAACATTATAAACTCAAAACTGGTTTCAAAAACATTCACGCAAATCCATGGGCCGATAGGCCATGCCTATGTCATTCCAGAACTTTCAGGTGAAGGGTGCAGAACTCCATCCATGGTTTGGATAACTTTTCGAAGGAATGTCAAGTCTCCTTACATTTATAAAAAGCTAGTCAATTGTCTAAAATTGTTATTTTTCACTCAGACATTTCATTCTGTGAAGAAAGTAACACTGAATATAGAATGTCAGCCAACCAATCAGCATTTATTCATTTATTTACCACTCAATTCAGATTCATTCATTCAAATCTCACCTTTATCTGAGGGCAGGAATTTTCTTTTTTAATTCCAAGGGCTGCACTGGAAAGCAGGCAAATATTTGTAGGCAAATTTTCAAGTGTCCCTGATATGGCCGAACCGGTAAAATCCCTAAAAGAGATTTTGCTGATGAACTAAACCATATTGTTGGCAGGCTCGATTTAACTGCTGGTTAAAGTAATTGTTTAGTTGTAGTGATTTGGGAGAGGGAATAAAATGTGTGAACATTGTAAAAGATAAGCAATCATATACACCCTTGGGAAAAAAGTTTTCGTAGAAGTTGTTGGCTTTACTGGCCGGCAGAAGTACTTGTGAATACGAAGAGCTTGTGGGGAAAAACAAAACAAAACAGAAAGTGCCTTTTGTGTATACAAACCCTACTTGTACTAAATTGGCTGTCACGGTCATTTTAGGGTTTTTCTTCTTGCATCATTGTAACAACATGGGCCTTGTAGTGGACCATTTTTAAATATAATGTCTGAAAATAATGTTATCAATGATTATTGATATATGATTTATATGATCATTGAAGATAGCAGGTATAGCATCCAGCATTCCCCAACCATATTCAGCCTGTGACATGTCACTGAACTTATCAGGGCACACACAGGGCTATGTATGACTTTCATGGGCCCTGGGTTCTTTTGCCTCTATGGTCCCTTTCCTCTGCTGAAAAAAAGAAAAGTAAAATAATAGATTTTCATGTAGCCTAAAATTGTCATTTTTCCTAATCTATGAAAAAGTTAAAACATTTTCTTTGACTCTAAAGTTTCTTTTTTATTTTCAAACAAATTAAATCATTGTGTTGCCCTAAAATTATCATGGGCCCTAATCACTGTGCCTATTGCGTCTAATGGACAAGTCAGTCCTGCGCACGCCAAGTTATTCACCCCCTTTCCAGCTCCCCTTTCCCTGACTCTGTTTAGTCTCTGGTTCAACACCTCTCTCCTATAGCCTGATAGCCCTGAACTTTGGAGCCATTCTTCCTCCTCCACCCAGCATGCCTTCCTTCCACCCTACTATTTCAGTCTTTTCTCCTAAAGAAAACATAGGGTGTTAGGTAAAACAGGCACATCTTCATAATGCCATGCATAGTAGAATCGTTGAGTAATAGTTGGCTATTGAAATGTATTTCTTTGATTTAGTTAGCCTTTCAATTATTTTTTTAGTCTAATTTATTCCCTGTGCTATGCTTTAGTGTTTTACTATGCTATGTCTTGTATCAATTTCCATTTATTAATTTTACTTTCTTTCTAATCATGGGTCTTTTAAAAGTAATTTAGATATGTATTTTAGGTGCACTCTTTATTTCACTAATTATATTTTCTGAAATGTTAATTATTCTTTTAACCATTTCCAATAATTATTTAGTCCATTATCATTCCCATCTATTCCAGTCAAGTCTTATTTAATGCACACACACACACGTGTGTATGTGTGTGTGTACAGTCATCCTTCAGTAACATGGGGATGGGTTCCAGCACCTCCTGCAGACATCAAAATCCAAGGATGCTCAAATTCCTTATATAAAAAGATGTAGTGTTTACATATAACCTACACACATCCTCCTATATACTTTAAATTATCTCTAGATTACTAATAACACCTAACAAATGTAAATATAAATAGTTGTTGTATTGCTTAGCGAATAATGACAAGGAAAAAATGTCTGTACATGTTCAGTACAGATGCAACCATCCATTTTTTTCCTAATATGTTTGATCTGCAATTGGTTGAATCCACCGATGAGGAACCCGCAGATACAAAGAGCCAACTAGATAGATTAGGTAGGTAGGTAGGTAGGTAGGCAGGCAGGCAGGCAGGCAGGCAGGCAGGCAGGAATATAGATAGATAGATAGATAGATAGATAGATAGATAGATAGATAGATAGATAGATAGATAGATAGATAGATGGATGGATAGACATCATCCTTTTCTAAAGTATCTCCTGTTTCATTTGTTATCTTTTTTCCAGATGATTTGCTCTCTGTTAAAAAGGCACATTATATTTGGCATCTTCCTACAGAATAGAAAGTACCAGTATAGTTAAAATCTTCTATTCCAAAAATGAGTTTCATTCAAGTTATTTTGTTTTCAACATGCTTAAAAGTTATTTGTATCATTTAAAGAAGGGAAACTTACACAATATATTATCTTTATAAAAATTTTTATTTCTGTTATTATTTCTGAGCCATAGATGAATTTATAAGATAAAATACACATTGCTCTTTTAAAAATGAATTTGAAAGATAGTCTTGATATTATGCAGTCATTACAAATCACTTTGTAAGGTGATAGTACCCTATAAAAAGAGCTTTATGCAACTTAAATGCTAAAACTTTTTAGATTGACCAAGAATGGTCGACCTTACCTTGAATTGTGTTCTGGGAGAAATTGTGTTATAGTAGGGAAACAATGTAGTAACAATGACACAATAAAGCTTTCAAAAATAGCTTT
Organism: Homo sapiens; assembly: GCF_000001405.40. Lineage (NCBI taxonomy): Eukaryota > Metazoa > Chordata > Mammalia > Primates > Hominidae > Homo > Homo sapiens. The sequence goes on along the minus strand of NC_000012.12, from coordinate 70,625,752 downwards.
CACATATTGTTCCATTGTATAAGAAGTTTTCCTTGCATTTGTCAAAACATCTTGCTATTCCATGAACTGTGAAACATATATACCTTTTTTAAGAACACCCAAAGAATTCATGGATAACAAAATATCCAAAGATCTACTATTTCAAATAAAATTTCACAGCACCTGTTTCAACAAAGAGTTCAGGAGATAAAAAAAAAAAAACTTAATCATCTTATATATTTCTATAATGGATTTTCTTTCTTCCCATCCATTTTATAATCCTTCAGTAACCACATAAGAAATGATTCAAATTTCTTTTTGGTTCATATTATGTATATGACTAAAACCATATACGTACATGTATATTAGGAATCACCTGAGAAACTTGTTATAATAGCAGGTTTCAGGTCCCACACCAAGTCTGCTAAATCGCAGTTTCCAGGAGCAGGACCAAGGCTTCAATATTCTAACAAGCTCCAAATATGATTCTGATGGCTACAAAAGTTTGCAAACCACTGCTTTAAATTTGACAAAACTTGGAAGTTGAATGTTAAGACTAAATCTTCTTTCTTGCTTCTTAAATAGCACAAGTTAAAAACACAGACACAAAATGAAAGGGTACTGGACCTGAATATTCTGTAGTTTCTTTCTTTGGAAAAAAGGTGGTGGTCTAAAATGGAAAATGAACTTGCTTGGTATGGGATGCTTTAAAAATATATTTAGAAGGTTAATTAAAGATAATGACATAAGACTGAAATTTTTTCCATAGGATAGTCCAAAGCTACATGCAATGGTAATAACCTATGTTATTTGCAGAGAAATTTCAAGAGTGTTTTGAAAATTTATCTACTTTTGGGAAAGTCCAGTTTTATCCACTGGATTATGTAAGCTGACTAATTTTTTTAAAAAGTTCTTAGGATAGAAACTTACCAACAGCTCTTTAGTGAAGAAGAGTAAGCATAGGTTGACATACTAAGACATGTAATTAGATGCTAGGTATTTAGAAGCTTGTTTTTGTCCTAACCCCACGGTTAAATTTTTTTTGAGGGTCTAAGAGCTAAAATTGTCATACGTAGCAGTCAACTCAGAGGATCAGGATCTACCACAGCTCAAAACAACCAAAATGCTAATCTGCATATACAGAAATGTTTACATCCCTACAATAGACAAACGTCTACTTAAGGGAACGTTCAAGCACCTAACTTAAGCAAGACTGCAGAATTAAGATTGTTTCCTGGAGTTTGTTGTAAAGGAATCTCGCTAATAGTATAATTGAGTTTGTCATGTAGAAAACACCCCAAGGACGAATAAATCTGATCTATGTCCGGAGTGGCTAACCTGGGCACAAAGGCAGTAATAGCGGCACAGGATTCAGAAAGGCAAAAACAAACAGAAACTAAGAGGAATGTCCAAAAATCAATCAAAGCCGAGATCTAGTAGATGTACAAGTAGGATCGCCAGATAATATACGCAGCACTCGGTTACATTTGAATATCAGATAAATAACAAATAATCTTTAGTATAAGTATATTACTAATACATAGTATGTTATCATCCTTGTATTATTGTATATGTGGGATACACTAAATATACTGAATTATACTAAAAATTGGTTGGCTATTCATCTAAAATTATTTGACTGGATAGAATGTATTTTTATTTGCTAAATCCATCGACCTTATGTTCAGGGTACTTTGCACAACCCTTTGTATCTCAAGGAAAGACTGCTTTATAGCCAAGATTATTTTATTAACTTTCAGAAGAACTGCTGATATTTATATCTTGATAAATTATAAAAATACCTTTTCCAGCTTAATCTTCTTTTTGTGCCCTCATCGCCCTCCTCTTTACATCCATTATCATACGAAATGCACTAATCAGTTGAAATTGGAATGGAAAGGAGTGAGACTCAAAAGAGGGCTAAGTAAGGCAGAACAGATCAGGGAAAATAGGATGATAAATAGCTTATTTAGGAGACCTCACCTGGCACATAGTAGTTGTATAATAAACAGTTGTTTGAATAAATAACCAGTAAATGAGTAGTTAAAAATAAAATCCTCGCTCTCCCAGTCTTTTAGCCAGAAACTCTTCAAAGGCACAGTTATCTGATTGTATAAGGTTTTGTGGGGTTTTCTATCCCATAAAACTCTAGTGCACTATGGAGTTGATGGGAAGATCTAAACATACCACCTCAAACCATAATTTACAGAACTTATCAGTGCTTCACTTGTGCTCTAGGGTCTTGCTTACACAGTGCAGCCCAAAAACCAGCAACATCAGCATCACCTGAGAGCTTGTTAAAAAGGCTGGCTCTGACCATCTCTAGTGCGTCAGAATTTGCACATTAGCAAGATTCCCAGGAGATGGAGAGCACATTTTAAAATTATGGCTAAGTGAACCTAATTCATGAACCAGTATGTTTTTTTTAATATGGGCAATTCAGCCTTGCAAAACAAAGCTATAAGTTAATCCCACCAGCTCATAAATTATAAGTCAATTCTCTGTTCTTCCAGAAGATAGATAGCTTAGAAAATACAACAGTCTCATCATTTGTAACTCATACAGTTGGATTAGAAACAGTTTGCACTGTGGCTAACGAAGTGTCATTACTTTCCAAGGAACTGTCAATCTTTGTGGTGAAGTTAGGCAAGTCATTAACAGTGATTCTCAACCTGGTATTTTGTTTAAAACCTGCTTTGAGAAGCTGATAAAAGCTATGACAGTACCCCACAGAAGAAAAGTACATATTCACATATACATATAATTTTGCACAGTTTTTGGAGACTCATGGATTCCCCTGAAGCCAATTCAGTGACCCCCCCCCTAAATTCTCATAGAATAGGTTTAATTCTCTTTTCTACACAGCGCTGGGTTTTTCTTTGGTAGCACAGTTTCTACAACTTTCCTTCCAGGTTATAAAATTGATAGATAGATAAAGGATGGGTGAATTGGACAGGACAAATGAACATTGTCACACACTCAAAGTATATTTGCTTTTTCATATAACTGAAGCTTATCCACATGCCCATTATTGAAAAGGCCCTCTTTTGCTAAGTAAAATTGATTTTATGTGAAGAATTCATAAAACATGAGAATAATCTTTGCAACTATCTTTTCTTTACCTCAGCTGGCCTGGGAGCAGAAGTTTCGGTGAGGAGCACTAGAAACACGGCTCCACCCCAGATTCTCACTACCTTTAATGCAGTTCCAGATGGCCTGGTATTCCTTATTAGGAATACCACAGAGGCCTTCATCAGAAATGCTGCAGAAAACTACAGCCAAAACAGCAGCGAGAGGCAGCATCCCAATCTGCACATGACTGGAATTACAGACACATCATGGGTTTTGTCGACTACTCAGCCCTTCTCCAGCACCACTGAAGAGGTAAAAGGAGGGGGTGTGTGGAGTGTGGTCTGTGCACGTCTCAGGAGGCTCATTGCTTGAAAAGACTTGCTTTGCTAAAAATGCCACTGCTGCAGTAGGGGGATTAGGCACTCTCACCCTGTGTCCTGGCTGCTAATTGTACAGGAAAGCATTTTACATAATGAAAATCTTTGCAATTGACTCAAAATTTCTATATCTTTATGAGATGCCGATAATTAGGCTGCCATGGAATAACTGTATGTTGGCCATATTTTCTGAACCAAAGTCAGGGTTCATGGTGTTACACATGTCCTGAAACCAGAAAATAGAAATTGAAATCAGTGCCCTGCAGGCAACCCTGAGTATATGTCATAATCATTTATGCTCCAAAGGAAGGGAGAGAGACTAAAGCAATGGCAGATTCAAGAATCACTATAATTGATTCAGGAGCACATTAAAAGATAAACAAAAGTCACGTACCACTTCCACATCAATACCCTTGAACCACCTCCACCAGGTGACATTAGTCAAATGACTGAGAAGCAGGGTGGCACCATCATAGGAGTCTGTTCAAATAGTGATTCTGCTTCAGGTGTTCATCTCTTTGGTTTTGCTTTCCTTGCAGAGTTTTAGTCCACCATTTAGGCAATACATGTAATTATAGCACATCAAAAAAGCTAAGGTTCCACTGGCAGACTTCAGCTTTTTCCTAATAAACAACCCAAATCATTTATAGAAGTCATATGACTTCACATCCATTTAGCATTCTGGTATCTTTTGCATTGTGCAGAATTTCACATTGCATATGGTTCCTGGCTGGTGAGCACATGTTTCATTATTGATCATAAAACAAATATAGCCAGTGCATTGAATAACTCATGGGACTTTATTTTTGTCTCTACTTCGCCTTTACTATAAATCTTTCCTGTGACCTAGTTCTTCCTTCACTTCTGAATAGAAGTTAGAAAAGCCCCATTACTTTTCTGGACACTCTATATCACTTTAAAACTCAATACTTACTCTCAGTTCATTAACAAAAATACCAACTCCAGGAAATAATGTGAACTCTAAATTTGACTTAAATGTTAGCTTCTCCTCTCCCATCACCCCACCCAGTTTGGGCTTAAAGCAGGGAAAGGGAAACATGTCCAAATTCTCTCACTCTCCACCAAGCTTTTCACCCACCTCTCCTAGCCTGATAATTATGGTTTCAGATCTATCTGGGCGTGGAAAATGGGAAAGGAAGACAGGAAATGGAAGCAAGAGAGTTATGACTTAAGGATACCATCATCAGCTGGCACTGTGCTCTCCCTAAATCTCCAGCTCTCAAACCCTTTCAACCACTGACATGAGTGAGAGATTCACCGCTTACTTTTTTTAAACTAAACTTCTTTAAAAATTTTGTTTAAATTTAGTTAAAGTTACAATTACAGTAGTAATCTTCTTACATGCATAGATCGCATAGTGGCAAAGTCAGGGTTTTGGGGGTTTCTATCACCCAAATAACATACATTGTACCCACTAAGTAATTTCTCTTTATCCACCCTCTTCCAACCCCCTCATCCTGAGTTTTCATTGTCTACCAATCCACATTCTATGTCCATGTGTACACATTATTTAGCTCTCACTTAGAACAAAATTCAGTGTTTATGTCTGACTTAGTTCTCTTAAGATAATGGCCTCCAGTTCCATCCATGTTGATGTGAAAGACATGATTTCATTCTTTTTCATGGCTGAATAGTATCACCACTTACTTTTGAAAATGAATGTTTCTTGGAGGAGCACCTCCTCATTGTGGCTGAATGTGCCTAGCCAAAACTTCCATTCTAACATCAGTTTACAAGAGATTTTATTTATATCATAGCTTAAATATATGTAACAGTAGAGAAAAAAAATTAAGTGTGTCAAATAAGAAAAATATTGAATAAAAACTATTATAAACATTTATCTGCCTTGAACACTAAAGGGTTGTCTTTTAGCAAAAAGAACAGTCTCCAATTTTTGCCTAGCTTTAACCATTGTGAAACACAGAGAGAAGTCCAAGGGGTAGCTAGGCTCTGCTGCAGTCAAGAGTCTGGGACAACCAGTTCCAGAGCTCTGCAAACACAATACCCAGTGGGCCAACCCAGCACTGTGTTACAGAGCTCACATGATCCAGCCCCAGACCTGGCTTGCAGCTTTGGATCATGTAGCCTTTTTCTAGAGTGAGATTCACTGCAGTGTTTATATGAGCTCCCAGGTAGGGCATCAGAATGACTATGCATCCAACTGTCATGTTCCAGTTTTTTTCTTGAAGCTTAAGCAAAGTTTTAACTATGTCCTGGTAAGCTAATGTGTAAAAGCTATGCTCTTTCAAAAGACAGTTTCTACAATTGCAGCTCTCATGACTCTAACGCCTTAGACTGAGCATCCCTGAGAGGTTATTATTTGATTTAGCAAGAGCTTTAACTTTATACCAGTCCATTATAAACAGCTGTGGTTAGATACTTTGAAAAGTAAAAATGAGTCACTTGGGATATAAATTGCCTGTCCCTTGAAAGTAATTTCAAAAGGTACTCTGTCTCGACAGAGGATGCCTAGAAAAGTATAAGAAAGGAGTAAAATCATTTGACTTAATTGCTTGGAATTGTGTAAAAATAAAATCTCTATGTGTCCATTGTTTTCCTTATCAGACAGCATCTGGTTTGTGATGACCGATGGGTTAGGGTTAGGGTTCACTTGCATGACTAGCAGTCAGTGCTGGGTGTAGGCTGGGGAGTCTAGGTTCTCCTCCACATGGCCTCTTATCTGCCAGTAGGCTACACCAGCTTCCTTTTCATGATGGGTTAGGGCAGCCTCACCAGAAGTCAAAGGTGGAAGCTACAAGCCTTTTGAGGCCGAGGCTCTGGAACCATGCAACATCACTTCTGCGATATTCTATTGATCAAAGCAACTCTCAAACCAGGCTAGATTCAGGGAGTGTAGAAATAGATTCCATTTCTTGATGGGAAGAGCTGCAAAGTCACATTGTAAAGGAGCGTGCATATTGAGTGGGAGGAATCTGTGACCATTAAGCAATCTACCATAGTATCATCATTATCATTATCATTATCATTATCATCATCATCATCATCACCACCACCACCCACTATCTCTGTTTTATAGATACCCAGCTGAAACTTAAAAAGGAACTTGCCCAAGATTAAATGACTAGGGAATAACAGACCAAGAAGAGTATACACACACACACACACACACACACACACACACACACTCCCCTAAACATCTAGTCACATATTCTCTTACATAGTGTGCCTGATAATAAAGGTAAATGCCAAGGAGGACATGATTTGAAATCCAGCAATCACTCCTCTCTAATGCTACTGCAAGATTGTCCTATGTTGGCTATTGGGGATCAGAGTATTCCCTGCCGTTCTCCTTTTCTCTCTCTCTTCTCACATCCTTACCTGCCAGTGTGAGGGGTCTGACTTTGGAAGTTTGTATACTTGGGCCGGTACTTGACCTCAAAACTCTGTGGTGCTCTCTCTCTTCTAGCCCCCAACCCTGAGCAGTAAATGAATTAACACATATCATAGGCCTAGAGTAGTGCCTGAATGATAGTAAAATAGTGTTTAATTAATTTTAGCTGCCATTGTTGTTATTGTCACTTTTATAAATAGTATTATGTGGATTGCGTGTCTTCACAAGGACAAAATCGATAGAACAGGAAACTTGTCTATGGTATGAGTCAGGAAATACTTTGATCAATTGTTCGCCAAGTATGGACCCTAGTCCCAGAACTTATTAGACATGCAACCACTTGGACCCTATTCTAGACCTAATAAATCAGAAGCTGGGACTCTGTGTCAGAGAAACCTGGCTTAAATCCCAGTGGTGATATCTACTAGTTACTCAAGTCCCACTCATTTCTTCTTTAACTTAAGGATAGTTATGGGTACTCACTCTGCCTCATAAGACAGGATTAAATTCTGATTAAGTAAAATGTTTTCGAATACTGGCTAGGCCTGATGCAGTGGTTTACACCTATAATCCCAGCACTTTGGGAGGCCGAGGTGAGCAGATCACTCAAGCCCAGGAGTTCGAGACCAGCCTGGGCAACAGGGCAAAACCCTGTCTCTGCAAGAAAAAATAAAAAAATTAAAAATTACCCAGATATGGTGGTGCGTGCCTGTGATCCCAGCTACTGGGGAGGCTAAGGCAGAAGGATCATTTGAGCCCAGGAGGCCAGGGCTGCAGTGAGCTGTGATCATGCCCCTGCACTCCAGCCTGGATGACAGAATGAGACCCTGTTTCAAAACAAACAAACAAACAAAAAACAAACAAGAACACTGGCTATACATGATAAATATTCAATAGTTTTAGCTATTAATACTAGCTTCTCCTTGTTCCTGCTTCATCATTCCTACCTTGCCTTCTTCACAGGGTGTTAAAAACCAGATGAGTCAACATATTATGTGAAAATACTTTGAAAGGGATAAAATGCAGAACATGCATTAGAAATGTTACTGGCTGGTTCTGATACTGCTAAATATCTCTAAATCTTTCCCTGCCCACCCACCCTTGCTCCGGCCTGGGAGAAGGATTGCATTTCCTCAGTTCATGAATAGCCATTGTGGTACTGGTCTGGGCTTTCACAGTTTTGTGTTTCCTTCTATTTGGCCTTCAAAGAGATCACAGCCCAGTGTGAGTCTCCAGATAAATGAGGAGGCAAATGCAGAAAACACCCCACCCCTGCAAATGCAGAAAACTCCACCCCCTGCAAGTCTGGGATAACCTCCTATATTGGGGTCACTTAAAGTATGCAGGGGAGACACCCCGCTGCTACTACTGTTCTGTAGCCAGAACTAAAGATGGGAAAAAATTCCCCTTCACTGAGGCAAATGCCTGGAGGGAGGAGGGCAAAGAAGTAGCGGGGGAGAGGGGGAAAGGAAACCATCCTCTGATCCTTCATCTCGACTCCTAGATTGACTAGTGTGAATGGATACTATATAAACAGACTCTGAGACTGCTGATGCTACAAAAAAGGCCACTTGGGAAATAACATATTGTGGGGAGGATACGTTTCAAAAGAACTTAATTTATAATTAACATCTTTCAAGCCTAATTCTAACATGGACTATAGTTTTCTTAATTTGCCAGTTAAAGTGGACTACCATGTGCCAATAGCATAAAGATGGTCTACAATTCACTGGACCCCACCAGCCTGAAAATCTCAAGGATTTTTATTCTCTTTCATTTTCTTTTAGTGATGGGCGATTTGCATTGTTTTCCATTTTGTGCACAAAAAGACCATGTTGCTATTTTGTGAACATATAGTTAACCCTTGAACAACATGGTTTTGAACTGTGCAGGTCCATTTATACGGGACTTTCTTTCAACCAAATGCAAATGAAAAATACATTATTGGTGGAATTTGTAACTCAGGTATACAGAGGACCAACTTTTGTATATGCAGGTTTTGCAAGGCCAACTATTTTACTTGAGTATGTGGAGATTTGGTTATACATAAGGGTCCTGGAGTCAATCCACCCCCATACTGAGGGATGACTGTATAATCATATGCACATAAAATACAACCATGAACAGAACACATGCATTGAAATGGGCCCTTTAACATGACAGTATTTCTCTGCCACATTGGTCTCCCTGGGCAGACGAGTTCTACCCTAGATGAAAGTTGATACAGTGGGGAGAGAGAATGGCAATGGGAAAGCAAAATGAGATCAAAAGAGAAGCCAGGACATGCTGATTGAGAGGGGAAGCTTGTGGTGCTTACCATTGGTTATACATATATCGGAATCACCTGGGAAGCTTTTGAAAGATACATATTCTAAGATTCCACCTCAGACCTATATCAGGATTTACTGAGGTAGGACCTCAGCACCTATTGTGTGAAAATCTGCCAGAGTGGTTCTAATGTGCAATCAGGTTTGCAATCCATTGGAGAATAACTGAATAATCAGCCTGTTAAGAAAAACTCTAAAGCAGGAAAAAGGAGGAAGTGTTGTTGGGGATATACAACCTAAATCTAATCACAAGGACATCAGATAAATTCAGATGGAGGAAGATGCTATGGAAATAACCAACCTGTATCATTCGAAAAGGCCAATGTCAGAATGGTCATTTTAAAAGACTGAGGAATTGTTCCACATTAAAGAATATTAAGAGGCTGGGTGCAGTGGCTCACACCTGTAATCCTAGCACTTTGGGAGGCCGAGGCAGGAGGGTCACATGAGCCCAGGAGTTTGAGACTAGCCTGGGCAACATGGGGAGATCCCATCTCTATAAAATAAATAATTTAAAAAATTTAAAAAGAAGATTAAGACACTGACAATTAGATGCAATACAGGATCCTTGGGGCTGGATCTAGAGAGAAAACAAGCAAAAAAAAGGATATTATTGAGATCGTTGACAAAATTGAAATATAGACTGTGGATTTAAGTATATCCATTTTGAATTTCCTGAATTTGATAACTTTATTGAGATTGCACACTTAATTCAGGATATATGCAGCCTATTCCCTCCACCCATAATTTCTGTGGGTGACTGTTTTTGATTTCCTTTTCTTTAAAGCCAATGTTATCATAAGCCATGCTTTATTTGTCTGCTATCCTAGGGTTTGGTAATAAATGTTTGCTAGCTCCTAAATCCATAGCGTACAGCAGCTACACCCATATAGACTGCCCCATTGCAAGCATTACTGCCTCAACTGGGTTCATCTGGGAGTAGACTCCCTTCCAAGGGTGGGGTGGCAGGAACTGTGGTGTGAAAGAAGATGCAGCAGAAGTGCCTGATTGGAAGAGTGGCTCACTTGCACTCACATCTGATTATAAATTATTTGGCTGTTTGTAGTTACAGAGCTATAACAAAAGCTATGTAAAGCCCATTTCCTTCAAATTAAAACAAAATAAAAAGTAGGGGAGGGGAAGAGGCTGATAAATGGGTGTGGGAAAAAAGAATACCAGGAAACCTTAGAGATGTGTTCTAGAGAGACAGTGGAGCCTGCTGTTAGAGACGTAACCGGCACTCCCACCCCTCCCTTGCAGTATTTTAAAAAAATCTTGGCTGGTCTAACAGACTGAGCAGCTGTTAAATGTCTTTGGGTGTTGATCTACTGAAGAGTTTCTTGGGTATGATTTTAGGTACGAGATTGGAAGCAATGATAATTTACGGTCATTTGGATGTTCTCAGAAAGATGAGTTCTCAGTCATGAACTTTGTCATTCTCTAATTTTACCGACTGCGCAGCATTCATTGTTTATTTTAATGTTATTCATAGAATAGTATTATTACTAATAATCATGGAACTTAATATTTATTGAGCCCTTTAGACAGGAACTGTACTATACATATGACATGCAACTTCTCATTTAATCCTTACAACCGCCCTCTCCTAATGCTTCTATTATTTCCATTTTCCTGGAGACCTATGATCTAGGAAGTTTAGCTAGAAAAATTCCTTGAAAAGTAAGTATCTCAGACTGTCTCTCTAAACACAAAATAGGCTGGTCATGGTTTTTGGCTTTAAACTACTTATCAAAGTAACATTTCTCTACATTTTAATGCATCACACCTGCTGCAGGTTAAAATTGTATTCACTTTTGCCAGAATTTACTATTGAGCCGGTTCGAAGTAAAACTCAGAAAAGGATTTGCCATCTTGTAGTTGTTTTTAATTGACACATTTCCCTGATTGCTATGCTTTCTTCTAATAAATACCTGAGGTTTGCATAACAAAACTACCTCCTAGGAGGAAAGGTATCAAACTGGCCTTATGTCTAACATGTGTTAAGTTTGCTACATGTTGATCCTTTTTGCTTAAGTATTCACAGTTAATTTTTTTTGTTTGTTTGTTTTTGTTTTTGAGATGGAGTCTCACTCTGTCACCCAGGCTGGAATGCAGTGGTGCGATCTCACTTAATTTTTAATGAGAAGTTATATATATCAAAATATGCATATTATATATTATAAAGGTCACCAATTCACTTAAGTAATACATTCTAAAATTGTTCTTCTAAGTCATCTATGTAGTTTTCTTATAAGCAAAGAGCTCAGTAAAATTTATTAAAAAAAAAATTAAAGCCAAGATCTCATTAACTCTCCTGAATGTAAAATGATATCAAGTACAGGGTTTAGGGTATAATCTGAGACTTTGTTCAGAATTTGAATAACTCCTTCTCATGAACTAGTACTGGAAGGCCTATTAAAATACAGAGGGCTCCATTATTGAGCTCTATCCCCAGCATTTCTGATTCCTAGGTCTGTGGTGAGGCTGGTAAGTTTACATTTCTAGCAAGTTCTCAGATGACGATAATTTGAGAGCTACACTTTGAGAACCACTGTTCTAACGGGTACTGCCTCCCTCCTCCTTCTCCTTTTCCTCCTTTCATCTTCCCTCTCTTCACTTTTCCCACCTTTTTCTCTTTGTCTTCAAAATGAATCTTTTCTTCTTTGTCATTCCTTTGCTCTTCCCTCTTTTTTCTCTTCTCTTTCCCCTCTTCCCTTCCAGGATAGTATTTAAGATTCTAAACATTCATTCTAAACATGGTCCAGCAGGACCAACAGGACCATGTTTAGAAGGACTTGTTTAGGATATTTATTCATGTAACAATATTTACTAAGCTGACATGAAGATTCAGCAAATGTTGGTTGAGACTCTATGAAAATCCCTGTGCAAGAAGAGCAGGACAGACAAAGATTCTGCTCTAACAGAATCCTCCATATGACCGGGAAAGGTAGACAGCACACAAATACATAAATGATTAGATTATTACCAAAAGTCATTGCTCTGAATTAAATGGCCACTGAGATGAAGAATAATAAAGACATAATTTTTCCTTGTGAGGTCAGAAAGGGACTGGCCCCTTAGAGGTGTGCTGAAGCTGAAACCTAAAGGACGAGAGAAAGATTGCCAAACAGAGAGCCTGGGGAGGAGTGGCTGAAGAAGAGGAAATGACAGGCACAAGAGCTCTAGGGCAAGTCAGTTCCATAGGCACGGGATGGGGAGCAGAGCCTCCAAAACCTATACCAGAGCCTGGCACACAATAGGTGGCTAGTCAGTGTTCGCTGAATGAAAGTAAATGAATTATCAGACCCAAGCAAGTGGAGAATAGGAGGCAAGCAGGAGGGAGGAAAGAAATGGGCAGAGGCCAGGTAATGAGGGGCCGGGGTAAGGACCATGACCTTTTAGGTCATGGGTGATGGGAGTGTGGATTAACCTAACCAGTCTACTCTGCCCTCCCCTCATCCATCCAACACCACTGCCCCTCATCCCCATGTCCAGTTCAAACCCCTGTCCAAAGTAACGGTTCTCAAACAGTGGCTCCCAGACCCCTTGATGACCCATTGTATTATTCAACATCTATGTTCATAATGTGACAAGATTCATACTTTTAGCCATGAACTCATAATTAATAACTTTTTTTGAGAGAAGGTTTTCACTCTGTTGCCGAGGCTGGAGTGCAGTGGCACAATCTGGGCTTATGGCAACCTCTGCGTCCTGGGGTTAAGCAATCCTCCTGCTGCAGCCTCCTGAGTAGCTGGGATTACAGGCACGCACCACAGCATCCAGCTAATTTTTGTATTTTTTGTAGAGACAGGGTTTCTCCATGTTATCCAGGCTGGTCTCAAACTCCTGGACTCAAGTGATCTACCTGCCTCAGCCTCCCAAAGTGCTATGATTACAGGTGTGAGCCACCGCACCTGGCCAATTAATGTTTTTAAATTGCTATGACTTTTTTTTTTTAAGACAGCTGCTTGTTCACTCATGTTTAATCAAAAGCAGCCCCACCCTTCCCATGTAGTCTGGGAAAGGTTTCCTGGTGGCAAGGAAGAAAGCTTGTCCCCTGAAATGGTACAGAGTGGCTGATTCCAAATTTCTGGAATGCAACTTCTAATTCAAATAGTGTCCTTATGTAGGACAAGCAGGCTCAAGAGAAGTTGAGGAATTCCAAACAAAGATGAGAACAAAAACCAAAATGAACCAATTTATTTATACTTTGTCCAGTAGTTTCAAATAAACTCCTCATAGAAAAGATGATATCTGGAAGCTTTTTTCAGTCCTATACTTCCTTGAATATATTACAGTTTTCTTGGATTTCTCATGTTAAGTTTTGTACTTTTAAAAGGAAAAATGTTATCGGTAAAAGCCTGAGTTTAAACTCTTCCTCTTGTTTCATAGTATGCTCATGTTTATGGGTCATTTAGGACTCACTAATCATTTGGGAGCTCTGCTGTCAGCCTTAAGGTTCTGCTAGCACATTAAAGTTTGCAAAGGTAGTTTAATGTAGTTGTGATATTATTTATTCATAATAGCTGTGTGGTGTATTTAGAGTAGGTATTATTCCAATGTTACAGTTGAGGAAAGTACATTGTTATCTAAATACAGCAAGAGAAGAAAAACATAATGTTGCAAAGGAATAAAACTGGGAAAAGGCTCCTATAAAGGCTGAGGGCAGCCAGAGCCTGTAAGAAGGCTTGCAGTATCTGTGGAGAGCAGGAGGGGACCCCTGCCACTGATGAGGCTGACAGGTATGCCAGGCTGTGAAGAGCCACTGAACTTGGGCACAAAATACAGAGTAAAAGTTCTTTACTCTTCAGGTGACCTAGGCAGAGAAATAGGGAGTTTTTTTGTTCCCAGAAATACACAGATGTTCTAGGTTTGACCTTCTTTGAGTGTTTGTTAACTTGAAAGGATTTGAAATCTCTGGTCTGGCTGTAGATTAAAAGTCTGTAGAATCTCTCGAGGGGAAGAAACTTCGTTTTTTCATTAAGAGGTATTTTTAAAAGCATGTTTTCTAAAAGAATTGAAGCAGGCCAGGCACGGTGGCACACGCCTGTAATCCCAGCACTTTGGGAGGCCAAGGCGGGTCGATCACTTGAGGTCAGGAGTTCAAGGCCAGCCTGGTCAACGTGGTGAAACCCTGTCTCTATTAAAAATACACACACACAAAAAAAATTAGCTGGGTGTAGTGGCACACGCCTGTAATCCCAGCTACACGGAAGGCTGAGGCTTAAGAATTGCTTGAACCCGGGAGGCAGAGGTTGCAGTGAGCTGAAATCGCACCACTGTACTCCAACCTGGGTGACAGAGTGAGACTCTGACTCAAAAATAAATAAATAAATAAATAGAATTGAAACAATTTTCACTTTTTTCTTTTTTCTTGTTTTAACTTTCCTCAAAGTAGACACAGTAGATATAGTAGACAATAACATAGCTTTATGTATAGCCTATTTGAAAAAGAAAGGAATATGCCATCCTTCCCGCTGATTTGAAAATTAGAATGTGGAATTTCATTTCTTTTGGCAGTTGTTAGGGATGGTGCTCCAAAAAAGCAATAAAAAATTATAAAACTTGTTGCAATATTTTGCTTTTCTCACTTGTGTACAATTAAATATTTTTGCTCTTTAGTTATTGGGAGCTTTTCTAAAATCAGTTTTCAGATAAATAACCGTTTGGGTACTGAAGCAGTTGCTAAAGGGCATACAGTTAGGGCTGAACGCTGAATAAATGCCATTTTTTTTTTAACTTGTGGAGAGCTGACTATCAACAGTAGTTTCCACAAATGAGAGTTTACATGGCTGTCTTCTTTTGGCTGGACAATTAGGGATGAAATGGCTTTAACTACTGGATGATAAAACTGTTAGCTGTGGGTTGAACACTTGGTAGTGATTATATTTGTCGTTAGCGCTATTTACATAAGATTTAGGGAGGATACAAACCTATACAAGAGAAAAGGGAAAGTGATTGGGAGAAAAGAATGGTCAAGCTGACAATCCTTTTGGGGTCTTTTTCTCTTGCTAGTGTCAGGGGATGCCACCGGGACAAATGAATGCTTTGAAGTGAGAAGGGCAAAAGCTCTCTAATAAAAGACTTCAGGAAAGAGTGCAGGCGACCTGGGGAAATATGCTGCGGTCAAGTTTAATCCTGGGAAAAAGTGGTCCTGGAGAAAGCAGATGAGGAAGATAGGAAGGAAGATAGGGAGGGGGAGACGCTGGGTGTGGAGGGAGGAAAGGGGCGGGGGTGGGGGCCTGGAAAGTGACAGGGAGCAAGCACTAATTGTGGCTAAGGCGACTGGGTCGAGAACCACAGACTGGGGAAAAGGGAGAGTACGGGAGGAGGAGGAGGCAGAGCCCCGCGGAGCCGGACCGGACCCCTGGCCGGGAAGGTATCGGCGCGGGGCAGCGGGGGCAGCTTGGCCCACATCGGGCCCCTTGGCAGGCTCAGGCGTTGGCTCCTCGGGGCTCCCTCCCTCGCCGGCGCATTGTTCCTTTGCCGGGAGACGAGGAAATTGCCTTTTGATTGCGGAAGTCAGCGGACGGGGCTGGGGCGAGGCAGCGCGGGTCAGAATGGCAGCGTGGGAAGGGCGGCGCGCTGCCTGTCCCCGCCGCCTCTCGCGTCCGCAGCCCGCCCGGGGCGGCAGGAGCAGCAGCAGCAGCGGTGGCCGCAGTGGCCCCTGCGCGTCGCCAGCCCCGAGGGAAGCGCGCTGCGCCCACGGGGCGCGCTGAGCGCGCGCAACAGGTGACCCCCTGCCCCGGCCCTCGGGCCGTCCCACGTCCAGCCCCCTCGGTCTCCTCTGGATCTTAACTACTGAGCGCAATGCTGAGCCATGGAGCCGGGTTGGCCTTGTGGATCACACTGAGCCTGCTGCAGGTGAGTGGCCCGAGAAGGGGTCAGAGCTGATGCGCCCCCTCCCCGCCGAAAACCAAATTCCCACTCCACTTTCTCGTCTATCGGGTTGTGCTTTGAAGAGGGAGGTGGCAAAATTTCTTCTTCTGCCTTGGGAAGAATGATCCTCTGGTGAGCCCCCCAACCCAGAATGACAGCTTATCCAGCTGTCAAAGCAAAAAGCCACCTTCTCTCTCCAGCTGCTCTCAAGGGACAGCAGCTAGGGAGAAAGTTGCCATCCACCTCCCCTGCAAGCCTCTTCTCTGGCCAGAGGGCAAAAGGACTGGCTGAGGCAAGGGACAAAGGATAAGTAGAGGAGAAAGTGTGGCTTGAGGAGCTTGCTGTGGACATGTCCCTGAGCAGTCCAGACTGTGGACTTAAACTGTTGTGTCTGATTCCTTTGCAGACTGGACTGGCGGAGCCAGAGAGATGTAACTTCACCCTGGCGGAGTCCAAGGCCTCCAGCCATTCTGTGTCTATCCAGTGGAGAATTTTGGGCTCACCCTGTAACTTTAGCCTCATCTATAGCAGTGACACCCTGGGGGCCGCGTTGTGCCCTACCTTTCGGATAGACAACACCACATACGGATGTAACCTTCAAGATTTACAAGCAGGAACCATCTATAACTTCAGGATTATTTCTCTGGATGAAGAGAGAACAGTGGTCTTGCAAACAGGTAAAGGATGACAGGTGCAATTGGATGGCCAAGCCACACGGGGTTGGGCCCTGCCTTTTCAAGCTGGTGTTTCATTTGAGTTCCAGGGATACAAAAAATGAAGGTAAAAATACCTGTGAAGATAAATATTGACAGAAATGTCTGGTTTCCTCGGATCTAGCCAGAAGCAGCTTGGTGGACTTTCAGAGACTCCCTTAGTGCTGAAAACAGCCAACTAGCTACTGAAAGGGTCGGGGTGGGGTGCAGGGCGGTCAGCAAAGAGAAACTTTGGGCTGCGGTGGGAATTTTTTAAAGTGATGTGGTTTACGCTTCCATTGCATTAAATTGTCAAACCCTGGAATAATTTTAAGTAAACGTTTTTAGAATAAATAATAGAAGTACAATATTAGGGGTATGCCTTTCCTCAACTTAGTTTTATTTTTAGAACTGTACATAAAATCTGCAGGAATAGAATGGAGCCATTCATCAGGGAAAATTAGAAAAGTCTCTTGAAATGAGGACATGAAAATTGTTTTGTATCTCTTGAGTAATAACCCAAACAGCATAGTATCAGAGAACGTCCTTTGATTACTTTACAGCAATTATTTTCCTTACACTTTTGCTGAATCCCTCCATGTGGATATGTTCAGAGTTTGCCTTTCTTGCCTCAGTTTTCTTATCTGTAAAATGGGAGTGTTAGACTTAGGTCATTCAAGTCCAAGTTCTTACCAAGTGCTCAACACTTAGGTATGGGCTGTCATGTACATTACCTCATTTAATCCTCAGAGCTACCCTCAGACATGCTCTAAATTCTTTAACAATTTTCAGGTTTTCTGACTTCATTAGTCTTCATTATCTCTATTTGTTGCAACAGTGTATCCTTACCTTCATCCAGAGATTCAAATTTATGTTAAAATTTTAAAAGTCAAATTTAGAAATGTGTTGCCCTTAGTATTCTTTCACATTTCAACCTGAAACAGGATCATTTCTTTTGCTACAGTTCTTCAAAGAGGTGTGAGAACTTTCAGCTCTAAAGGCAGGTGCAGCAGTTTCAGAGAATTTAACTGGGCTCATGTAGTAAGTCAACTAGATATTATCTTTTTTTTTCAAAGAAAAAAATCAAAATGCCCAATTACATCACTTAACTTACTTCAGATGAAACTTTTAGATGATATCTGAGATTTGCAGCATCTTAAGTTGAAAAGAGAAATCGCTTGTTAAGAATCTGGTGGTTTCTCTGACTGGGCGCAGTGGCTCACACCTGTAATCGCAGCACTTTGGGAGGCTGAGGCAGGTGGATCATGAGGTCAGGAGTTCAAGACCACCTTGGTCAACATGGCAAAACCTCGTCTCTACTAAAAATAAAACAAATAAATAAATAAAAAATTCGCCTGGTGTGGTGGCGGGCGCCTGTAATCCCAGCTACTTGGGAGGCTGAGGCAGAGAATTGCTTGAGCCCAGGAGGCAGAGAAGCCAGATTGTGCCACTGCACTCCAGCCTGGGCAACAGAGGAGACTCTGTCTCAAAAAAAAAAAAAAAAAGAAAAGGAAAATGAATCTGGTGGTTTCTAATATGGAATCAGAGAGCCTGAAATAGACCACATAATTAGAACATTTTACAAAAGTTGAAAGGCTGGGTTTTTAGTCCAAATGTTGTTGGTTTCTTAATATTACAGGATAGTTCTTATAAATACTCATATTGCTAATACTGTGAAATACATAACATAGAACTTACAGATGTGTTAATTGTGTTTAGAAAGGCATCTGGCCAACTAGTGTATGTGTTCAGTGGAGCAGAGCAATTTGTAAAAGCAGGCTGAGCTTTCAGAAGTTTGTTGGAGAAAAGATTAAGACCTTTAAGAAGCCAGAATATGGTTGTTTAAACCAGAGGATTTACTTTTTGGAAAAACAGTAATGGAAAAGGACTTACTGTGGGTGTAATTAGTTAGAATAGGCTTTGAGTTTAATTATGCAAGTAGGTATTCAAGTCCAGAGGCATTTCTGAAATGTAAGAAATACTTGCATTTTATTGACCATGTTGAGTGAAACAAGACTTCATCAGCATCCACAATGTGCTAGCATTCAGGGTTCTCACCATTTTTCTTAAAGAGACACACTTTACTTGTCTACAAATATTATGAGCTGCATGATAAATGTGAAGCATGAAAGTTGCAGGTGGTATTTGCATAATGATAAATTTCCCACATGTATTTGTATGATGGTTGTTTAGATTTAAATTACTTTTTTAAATAAGATATTTTAAAAATTGTTTCAGGGAGGAATTTTTTAGTCGGTTGTTATTTATTTGTCAGTAGTTCTTTCTACATTTTAAGGACATATGTGAATTGTTCACTTAGTTAATACAAAGTACTAGTATTCCCCTATGTTAATTGCTGAGCTATAGAGATGAGATGCATAAATCATATTTTACTGTTATTAAAGCAATGCCAACTAGTATAATATTCAAACTCAGACAAACTTCAAACAAAAAAGTAATTGAAAATATCTGTGCTTTCTTTATTCTATTATGCCTGTCTTATCAGTCTAAAACAAAATAGAATGAGAGCAAGACATGATTTGGATAGAAATATAGTTGTTGCTTAGATGATCTCTATATCATTCCAAATGTGACTGGCCTGATTATTTTTCCTGATAAACTGTCTAAAATAGCTCATTATTTTCATGTCATATAGACACGACCTTAAGGATAAAAAAATTGAATTAAATGGGCAATATTTCAGCAATAGTCATTTTCCATTCCAGATTTAAAATCAGAATCGAAGAACATAATGGATTTAAACCCAGTTCAGTGCACATGTATCAAACATAATACTGTTGGGAACTATGCCAGGTAGTGATTAGTAAGCTTATAAAGATGACTAACAAAAAGTGGTTCCTGACCTTGTTGTCTCGTGCAGAGGTGAGAGACGGTTATGATGAAAGTGGCAACAGAGCTTTATCTCATCTTTTCTGGATGAGGACTTTACTCTGCCTCATGTATGCCATGCTTTCATAACCATAGAGGACAAGATATTTGGCAATTCTCAGGTTTACTTGGTCATTAAACGGTCAACGCAACAAGAATATCCTTTGAAAGCCAAAGTATTTAGTGTGAACTCACCAGAAATCAGACAATGAACATACCAGATATGGAATAAGTTGGCATTTTTTTTTCACTTCTTGTAGAGCTCTTCTTAAACTTGGCACTTTTGAAGACTGTACTCAGAGTCTAGAGCAGAGGTTGCAAACTGGTAGCCTCTAGAGATAGCTAGGTGTCTAAATAATAACTATGTTGTGTTTGGCTCATGTAGTGTTTGTGAAAACATCCAGATCATTTCACCAGCATTAAAAATCAAAAATTCACATTAAAACCCAAATGTATGGATTCTCTTAAAATTTTGGAAGATTTGGCAAAACTGTGCCTAAAACTCTCTAGAGCTGACTTGTGTCTTCTCCTTTTAGATACCAACTCACTGGAATACCACTTCATTCATTTCCTTACCTGAATGCATTCTAAAGACATTTGAATTTGTGACTTCTACTTTGTGGTTTTCATTTGAAAATTTTAGGGAGCATTTATTTGTCTGGCAATAAGAAGTAGGTTTTCAGTACTTAAATGGCATCTAATACATGGTAGGTGTTCCGTAAATACTGATTAAATGGATGGATAGATGGATGAATGGAAAGATGGATGAATGGTGGATCTGGGCACGGATGATGAGTAGAAGAGATAGATAGACCAATATATAGATACAGATAAGCATGTAGATGTGAATGAATGAAATTAATATTTTAGTGAGAGAATGTACATATACTAAAAATATATTCTATTCTCATTGGATTATGGGTAGATTACAGAGCCCAGGGAAGAGTTGTAGTGGTAGATAACTTTACCTGTAGAAATAATATTTTAAAAGCATTTTCCCTCTTGTTAAGTCAGTTTCAGCTACTTATTAGTCAGCCTAGAAAAATAAAAAACAAAACCTCTCAAATGATTTTAATTATTTTAATATGGCTAACTTGTCTTTAATAAAAAACATTTTAGGAACGTTAATTGTTGAATCACCATATCAGCTATTATTTCCACTTCTTATTGTATTGGTTTACTAGGAGTGTCTTAACAAAATACCCCTGACTCTAGGTGGCTTAAACAACAGAAATTTATTTTCTCACAATCCTGGAGGCTAGAAGTCCAAGGCGAAGGTGTCTGCAGGTTTAGTTTCTTCTGAGGCCTCTCCTTGGCCTGCAAATGGCACCTTTTTGCATGTCCTCATATAGTGGTACCTCTGTTTCTGTTGTCTGTCTGTTAATGTCTTCTCATAAGAACACCAGTCATATTGGCTTAGGGCCCGCTCTAATGGCCCCATTTTAACTTAATCACCTCTTTAAAGGCCGTATCTCCACATACTGAGGTACTGGGGTTTAGGGTTTCAACATATAAATTTGGTGGGGACACAATTCATCCCCTAATACTTCTATAGTTTTAAACATAAGCCATCATTTCTTAATATCTGTAGGTTACCTGCATCGAAATATCTTGCAGAGCTGGTTATGAAAACATATTCTTGGTTTCTACCCCACATGGAAAGAATTAGAATTTAGAAGGAATAGAGCTGAGGGAATCTGCATTTTAAACAAATATCAGAGTGAATCGATGCACACAAGTTTAAGAACTATTGACATAATTTTTCTATTATTTGTTGGCATTAAGATTTTGATACAATTCTTCTTAATGCATGATCAAATCTATAATGCCTAGGAGTATTTATTATCTTTCCCAGGAAGAGAAGAGTACTCTAGTATTTGTTTTGTGCTTCTTTAAAATTTTATTTTATTTTTTTAATTTTTTTCAGACAGGATCTTGCTCTGTTACCCAGGCTGGAGTGCAGTGGCACAATCACAGCTCACTGCAGCCTTGACCTCCCAGGCTCAGGCAATTCTCCTGCCTCAGCCTCCTGAGTGGCTGGGACTACAGGTACCCAATACCACACCCAGCTAGTTTTTTAAATTATTTGTAGAGATGGGGTCTCCCTATGTTGCTCAGGCTGGTTTTGAGCCTCTGTGGCCAGCCTGTTTTGTGCTTTTATAGCATATAAAAGACTACCACATATTATGTTTAATTGGTAACAGTATGAAATACATATTATACTGACCATCTATAGCCTAATTTTATTCTCATGGCAACCCTGTGGAGGGGGTATTGTGAAAGGGCAGTTTGCATAGAGACTAAGAGTTGAGTTTTGAAGGTAGACTGCCTCTACCGCTTACTAGCCACGTTATTTTGGGCAAGTTATTTAACACTTCCAGGTCTGTTTCCAAACCTACAAAATGGGGATAGTATAACAATAACTCATGGGGTTGTTATGAGGTTTTCATTGGTTCATACATCAAATCTAGAAAAGCTTTTGTCACATATGAAGTGTGTAGTGAGTTTCCTATTATTACTTCCAGGTTGGAGATGAGATTGGTCTTCATAAGAATTAACTGACAATGTTTACGAATTCACACAGCTAACATACAATAGAGTCAGAACTTGAACTCTGGTTTACTGGCTCCAACTCCAGTATTCTTTCCACTACTCTGCGAAAAGTATATTATTTTTAAGTTGGCATTAGCTTTTTCAAATTACCACGTGTTATTTTATTATTTTTCAAAGTCAAGTCCTTTTAAAGAGGACCAAATATCTTATAAAATCTTTTAAATATATATATACTTAGCATACACAAAAATAGAATAATGGTTAAATATGTTTTAGTGTGAAGCAATTGCGAGTCACTATTGATCTCTGATTGTGTTGAACTTTTGGTGATGACTTCAGTATTTTGTAATCAGCCATTTACAGTTCATTTATTTCAGGAATTTTAAGGTCAAGCTGAGCTACCTATATGGAATGAACCAGCCCAGTTCTCTGAAATTGGTCTTCCTTTATGTGCCTAGAAATATTTCTCTATTAGTCTGACTTCTGTTGGTAGGCATGGCACTTTACACATTAGCTAGGAAGAAATAAAATCTAATTTGTCTGGACAGAATGAAAAAAACAAACAAAAAAAAAACAAAGGAAAACTGTTTGCCTTCCATTCCTAGATGCCAGTTTGCTGGAATCCCCCTGGGAATAAAAGATAATATTAGATTTTTCTGACCTGGTAGGAGAAACAAATCCCATTCTATATGTATGAATGTGTATAAATTAAGATGCATATACCCCTAAACATATAATATGAAACTAAAATGAACACAGTAAGTATATATCTAGGTTTGCAGGGATTTTTGTTTTTGATATTGTGTTTTCTTCCTTTTATATGGAAAAACTCAGTACCTAAAAGGGTAAAAAAGGATAGTATAATGAACTACCATGTACTCATCACCTTCCTTCAATAATTACCAATTTATGGCCAACCTTGTTTCATCTATATCCCCACCCACTCCCCCACTGCACATCATTTTGATACAATCCAAGTCGTGATTATTTCATTTCACTTGTAAATATTTCAGTCTACATCTCTGAGTAATAACCACAATATAATTATCACATCTAACATTAACAATAATGCCTTAATGCCTAGATGTCCAGGTTTAGAAGTACATATCAAGTGACAGCTCATGAATTTCTACATAAGAAGGCTTTTGGACAGCAATCTGATTAGAAGAGGGGTCCAGGGGACTTCTCTGTATATTGCATTTATACAGCATTTTAGATAATATTGAAAAAGCCTCAGTTATTGATATTAAATAATTGGGCTGGAACTACTGAAGAATATCATGGGGATGAGGGTGCATTAGTCTTGTTAAGTTGTCTGGGTGCCCTCAGTGCTGACATGGTTCTCTAATATTCACTAAAAGTGAGCTTCTAATTTTAGATCTAGTGTATACAGATGTTACATTAAATGCACAGCAACCTGATGTATTAGCATAATTTAATGCATCATCTTTAAAGTAAGCCAGAAAACTGACTATTGTCAAACAGCAATAATAACAAAGTAAAAGAAATTATCTCTCAGCTAGATGCGGTGGCTCACGCCTGTAATCCCAGCACTTTGGGAGGCCGAGGTGGGCAGATCACAACATCAGGAGATCAAGACCATCCTGGCTAACACGGTGAAACCCCGTCTCTACTAAAAATACAAAAAAAAAACTTAGCCGGGCGTGGTGGCGGGCGCCTGTAGTCCCAGCTACTCGGGAGGCTGAGGCAGGGGAATGGCAGGACCTGGGAGGCGGAGCTTGCAGTGAGCCAAGATCATGCCACTGCACTCCAGCCTGGGTGACAGAGTGAGACTCCATCTCAAAAAAAAAAAAAAAAAAAGAAAAAAGAAAAAAAGAAATTACCTCTCTAGAAATGTATTTAATTAACTGGAGGTTGTGCACAATTCTTTTCCGTTTTGTTTTTCTTCTCATTTTCAAAAACCTGCACCAAAGGATGGTTTGGTTTTTTGCCCCATCCCACCCTGATTTTTACAAGTAATCCTCCAATTATTTCATATGAATAGTGGATGTTTACTCCATTTTACATAAAATGCTACATAAATGCAGTTCCAATCAAGTCTCCTCACCACTCTGCTTGTTACTAGATTGGTATCCCAATTTCTGTAAAGATGCTGTTGTTTGGTTGGGAGGCAGGGATAAAATCCAGTTTGAGAAGAACTCAAGTGCCTAGAAAGAAACTTAGACTTTATCCTGAAATAGAAACTCATGAAAAGTTTTTGATGCTTCAAGGGGAATGAAGATGACAGATGGGGCAGATGTACAAAGAGATTATTTGGCAATCATGGAGGAAAGACGGAAAATAAGGAAGAGGCGGGGCGTGGTGGTTCGCATGCAATCCCAGCACTTTGGGAGGCTAAGGTGGGAGGATCATGTGAGCTCAGGAGTTTGAGACCAGCTGGGGCAACATGGCGAAACCCTATCTCTACAAAATAATACAAAAATTAGGCTGGGCACGCTAGCTCATGCTTGTAATCCCAGCACTTTGGGAGTCCAAGGCGGGTGGATCACGAGGTCAGGAGTTCGAGACCAGCCTGGCCAACACAATGAAACCCTATCTCTACTAAAAATATAAAAATTAGCTGGGCGTGGTGGCAGGCGCCTGTAATCCCAGCTACTCAGGAGGCTGAGGCAGGAGAATCGCTTGAACCCAGGAGGCGGAGGTTGCAGTGAGCCGAGATCATGCCACTGCACTCCAGCCTCAGCGACAGAGCTAGACTCCATCTCAAAAAAAAAAGAAAATACAAAAATTAGCTGGGCATGGTGGTGTGCACCTGTGGTCCTGGCTACTCATGAGGCTGAGGTGGGAGAATCACTTGAGCCCAGGAGGTTGAGACTGCAGTGAGCCATGATCACGTCACTGGACTCCAGCCCGGGTGACAGAGCAAGGCCCTGTCTCAAAAGAAAATAAGGAAGACACTTAGAAGGCTTTCAAAGTAATCCAACACAAAATGAAGGGACTCCAGGTAAAGGCAATAAAATAAGGAAAAAAGGGAACAGGCAAGAAAAATATTATTTTCGAAAAGGGAACTTTCATGCTCACAGAATTAGATTTAGCTGTTACTACTGTTGTTACTCATTTTGACTATGCTACAGTAGCAAACCAACATCTGAAAAATTCTATAAATATGCCTATCATTTTCCGTAGACATCTATTTTTATTTTTTGTCATTACACTGAATATGCAATTCATGACATCATTTCCCACACTAGGACAGCTAAGGTGTGATAGAGAGAAAACAGGATTTAGAGACAGGTATTGGAAGCTCAACTTTACTACCTGTTCCTATACAACACGAGTGAGTCATTTAATGTCTCTGAGCCCCTATTCCAACTGAGAAAGCATGTTGTAGATTATCAGGTCCTATACAGATGTAATGTGGTGCTGTCGTGCCTTTAAGAAAAGCTTTTGGCACCAACTCATGGATTGGCTGCCCTTTTTGTTATAAGGTTGAATTTATTTCTATAGCAAATACAATCACTTCTAATTCTAAAGAGTCTAGACATTTCTATATCAATAAATACTAATGTTTTAATGACCATGCTGTCACAAAAACAATTAAGAAGCAAATATCATTTGTGCTATAAATATAGCTTTCTTTCTCTTTCTAAATAACATTAAAAAAAAAAAAAAAACAGGGTCTTTCTATGTTGCCCAGGCTGAAGTGCAGTAGCTATTCACAGGCACTATTATGATGCACTATAGCCTCCAATACCTGGACCCAAGCAACCCTCCTGCCTCAGCCTCCTGAGTAACTGGAACTAAGGGCACACATCATCACACTTGGCTTCCTAAGTCACATTTAAAAAAAAGAAAAGGAAAAAAGAATTCATTTTGGTTCAGGAATTTTGCCATACTTTGTCTTTTCTTTTGAGAAAAGAAAAATTGTGTTGACGTCAAGCCTGCTTATGGAACTCTGGGGCTTTCTGGTGCTGGTAGATTTATTCAAGTATATACAATGAATATTATAGAACTTACTGTTGTTATTCATTTTGACTATGCATTTGTCATTCCATATTTCAGGTCTGTTGGGAACCAAGAATTACAAAGTGCTCTAAATTTATGGCTAATGATAAATATTGATATATTAATCAAGACTAAAGCTTTGATTTATTATTTTTTGATTTGATTTATTATTAGTTCTCATATTTTATAATACTTCACTGGTTACTATGCGTATGAGTGTGATGATTGGAAAAACCAGAGGCTATAAATGCACACATCTGTGCATTGATACCTTTAACCATTCACATAAATTATATAAGTCAAGTAGGATTTCCTAATTATGTACGATCTGTCATATGATCAGAAGACTATAGGTACATGACTAAATTTTCAAGTAGCATTAAAAATTTTCTCTTTCTCCATATATATATCTATATACATATATTTAATACATACACACACAGTCATATTATATGAAATGTGCACCCCTGATAGAAGTATCTAATAAAATTTTGAAAACTTTTTAAATCCATCAGAGTTTTTATTGGGCTTAGATTTAAAGGGAGTCTGAAAACTATTTAGTTTCTGCAGCATGCATAGCAATAGTGGACAACTGCCAGCAAAGGGCTTTATCACAGTATAAATGGGGTTTTAAGTGTTTGTTTCCAGTGCAGGTTCTCGCAGCCCAGGCACTTCCCAGTCTCATTGTTCCTTTGTTCTAGCGGATGTACAAAGGATTGACTGTTTTGTTTTCTGGCTCAGAAAGATTAGATAAAGTCTGCATTTCTGAACTTCACCCTCTAGACACGCAACCTTAAAATTTATTTCTATATCTCATATTTTGTGGATTATATATGTTTGGATTCTACTGATCATGACATTATTTTTTAAAATTTTTATCTGGCTTGATAGTACATGTAGATGATAGTATTGATCCCTTTTGAACTATCACTGGAAGCAGCTGTCCCTCTCATCCTTGTCCTTAAAATGCCACTTCAGCAAAAGTATGTCATCTCAATTGGGTACGACAGCATTGTTCTTGAGTTTCACTGGCTATTAGAATCTCATAGACTCCTCTATATCTTGTTACTTTTCAAAACTGCCTTGGAATATAAGTATTATTATTATACTCCCCAGATAGGAAAGTGGAGGCTTAGACAGGTTAAATAGCTTGCCCAAAGTCTCATGACTTTGTTAGAGCTGAGATTTAAATTTAATTCTGACTCCAAAGCCCATGCTGTCTGCCATTACATTTCACTGCTTCTGTGGCAATATTTTCACCTAATTATAGGAATAATAAAAATAATAACAGCTAACACTGAGTACTTACTACGTGCCAGATACAGTTCTAACTACTTTTTATATAATATTCAATGTAATCTTCATAACAATTCTACTAAAAAGATATTATTATCAGGATTGCATAAATGAGGAAACTGAGGCACAGGGAGGTTAAGGAATTGCCCAAAGCACACAGCTACAAATAGGAGAGCCCAATTCAAGCCCGGGCTGTCAAACCCTAGAACATATGTTCTTCAGGTGAACCAAAGGGCTGTGCTGTGGTGTGAACCATGCAACCTTGTCTTCCAAGCTCACCTGTGTTTCGGGCACTCTGTTAATTTTTGTCATAGTTACTGCTGCCTCAGCTTGCTTGTCAGCTAACATTTATGTTATTATTAATTATTGATGTTATAAATGTGGCATATATAATTTTGCAATATGATGTACTTAGCATAAATCATAGCATAAAACATAGAAACATTAGATTTCATAGGCTCTATTAAGCCTATGGTGTCTATTGGTCAGCCATACATAGTCTTATGAGTTGTCTGTTTATAACTGCCTTTTGAATATAGAGTAAGGCTATCTTATTTCTTTTATATGTAAATTACAAGTGAATATCATCTTAAAACATATAAGAAGGTTATATCTTCTAATAAGGTCTAGAATTCCTGGTGTTATATTGTGAACACAATATAGTCTACCAGGAAGTAGTGAAGTTTCTATAGCCATGCCATTATAATATCTGACCTGACCCTTCAATATTGGTCTCCAATATCTTGATCCCACTTTCTAGACCAAGAACCATGTTGGATTTCTGAAAATTTCTCATAAAGAGGTCTCTCAATAGTTCTACTCTCAGCACTCAGGGTAGGGGCAGCCCCTTATTTCTTAGACTTTACTCCCCACTGTACCAAAAGAATGGCTGCTCACTAAATATCATTGACTTAGTTCCTAATCCTGATATGCTTTTTATTCTATTCAAGTTCAATGGTGGAGATTCAACATAGGCAAAGCAGGACTTCTCAAACTGATCCTTGGCTTTGAGAGTTGAAATAAGGTGAACAGCTGGGTGCAAGATTTGCCCATTCCCACTTACTCTGGGTGCTCTGGCAGCACCAAAGTGCCCCAAAATTGAGATTTTAAAAACCTAGGGATATAGGGGGCCAGATGCGGTGGCTCATGCCTGTAATCCCAGCACCTTGGGAAGCTGAGGCGGGCAGATCACCTGAAGTCAGGAGTTTGAGACCAGCCTGGCCAACATGGTGAAACCCTGTCTCTACTAAAAATACAAAAAAAAATTCACCGGACACAGTGGCGTGTGCCTGTAATCCCAGCTACTCGGGAAACTGAGGCAGAAGAATTGCTTGAACCCGGGAGGCGGAGGTTGCAGTGAGCCGAGATCACGCCACTGCACTCCAGCCTGTGTGACAAGAGCGAGACTCCATCTTAAAAAAAAAAAAAAATCTAGGGATATAGGGAATCCCAGCTACTGGGAGAATCCATTTTGGTAAGCAACCCTATCCTAGGTTTATAATCAGATGTGTATCTTTTGTGGTTGTCTAATATCTAAAAACCACCCAAAGTTACATATACTAGACACCAACAATCTACAACCTAGGAAGAAGTTCAGTGTATATTTCAAATTATTTCTTAATATCTAGATTTTCTGTTGAGATCTTCAGTATTTATCCAGGCATAACCTGGATGTTTGTCAATGTTTGAAAAAGTTGCTAAACTGCAAGCCAAAGAAAATATAACTTTGCTTGGACTTTCAAGATCAGAGCTACCTTAACAACAACAAAAAAAGTTTCAGTAGAAAAAGGAATTCATATGACTAGTAGCTAAATGGGTTTTTTTTTTTTTAAGAAAGTGAAAGGGTAGGTTTGGAAGTGAAGCAAAATGGCAATTTATTTCACAAATAACAGATTTTTGAGAAAAATGAACCTGGACTGCAGTAAAATAAGCAGTTATTTGCAAAAGTCTTCAAGCCATGTTCTTTTTTTTTCTTTTTCTTTCTTTTTTTTTTTTGTGTGTGTGTGTGTATTTGCCTTGCAGATCCTTTACCTCCTGCTAGGTTTGGAGTCAGTAAAGAGAAGACGACTTCAACCAGCTTGCATGTTTGGTGGACTCCTTCTTCCGGAAAAGTCACCTCATATGAGGTGCAATTATTTGATGAAAATAACCAAAAGATACAGGGGGTTCAAATTCAAGAAAGTACTTCATGGAATGAATACACTTTTTTCAATCTCACTGCTGGTAGTAAATACAATATTGCCATCACAGCTGTTTCTGGAGGAAAACGTTCTTTTTCAGTTTATACCAATGGATCAACAGGTAAGACCTGTTTATTTTATAGCTGAGTAGTTAATAGGATACTTTTCAAGTTATACTTTATTCAAGGAATAGGAGTAAGATTGCTACTCCAGAGCAAAGTTAATTAATTAGCAATTAGTTAAATTTTTAAAAGGAGCTTGTGGGATACAGTGGACAGACTGGACTGAAAATAGGATGCGTGGCTATGCTGGTAACTTGTTGAGTGGTTTTGAAGAAGTCATGGGACTTCTGTGGAATTGGAGTTTTCTCCAACTTGGAATGGATACTCCCTAATGGCCCTTCTAACTCAAATCCAAAGCAACAAGACTTTCTGCCCCATTTTCTAAGTTTGTGCCATAAAACTTATTTTTTAGATGTTTTTATTCTTTGTATACTCTTCTCATAACATCAAGTCATAATGTTTCCTAACTATTCCTATGTTTGAAACAAGTCTTTGTTTCTCCAATGTGGTGAAAAATAAGGCATCTGTGCACCCACATATTATGATATACATGGCACATCACTACCTCCTTCCATAAAGTACATGTCTTTCATGTCATTTGCTCTCCCCTCATTTTCTCTCTTCTTAAATTTTTTTATTATACTTTAAGTTCTGGGATATTTATACTTTAAGTTCTGGGATACATGTGCAGAACATGCAGGTTTGTTACATAGGTATACACGTGCCATGGTGGTTTGCTGCACCCATCAACCCATCATCTACATTAGATATTTTTCCTAATGCTATCCCTTCCTTATCCCCCTCACCCCCCAACAGGTCCCCGTGTGTGATGTTCCCCTCCCTGTGTCCATGTGTTCTCATTGTTCAGCTCCCACTTATGAGTGAGAACATGCAGTGTTTGGTTTTCTGTTCCTGTGTTAGTTTGCTGAAAATGATGGTTTCCAGCTTCATCCATGTCCCTGCAAAGGACATGAACTCGTCCTTTTTTATGGCTGCCTAGTATTCCATGGTGTATATGTGCCACATTTTCCCTCTCTTTTTTAAATCTTCCTCTCCATTTTTCATCTTCTATAGTTCTTTCCTTTCTCTCTTCTACTTACTGCTGTGCAATGTTATATACTTCACTGGCAAAAGCCACCTTAATACCTATTAAGTGGGGGAGGCAGACAAGTAAATTATGATGTAACTTGAGGCTGCAGACTTTGAAAAGAGC
This sequence comes from Homo sapiens, assembly GCF_000001405.40. NCBI lineage: Eukaryota > Metazoa > Chordata > Mammalia > Primates > Hominidae > Homo > Homo sapiens. Next base: position 70,594,894 of record NC_000012.12, on the reverse strand, counting down.
ACTAATCAAAGTTCCAGTGAAATTTCCAGAATCCTGTTATTTACTAATGCTATTATCAAGTTAAGATGTACAGAGGAACACAAATGAATATGTGACTTCTAATTAAATGTGTCTATGTCTCCTATAAGGGAATTATTAATGACATTTGGACATGCATTTTATCCCACTAGTGCCATCTCCAGTGAAAGATATTGGTATTTCCACAAAAGCCAATTCTCTCCTGATTTCCTGGTCCCATGGTTCTGGGAATGTGGAACGATACCGGCTGATGCTAATGGATAAAGGGATCCTAGTTCATGGCGGTGTTGTGGACAAACATGCTACTTCCTATGCTTTTCACGGGCTGACCCCTGGCTACCTCTACAACCTCACTGTTATGACTGAGGCTGCAGGGCTGCAAAACTACAGGTGGAAACTAGTCAGGACAGGTAAGTTCCCCCTAGCTAGCTGAAGAAGAATAAAGTGAAATCAAGGGAATGTTTAATAAGTCAAGTTTATTATATGAATAACTGTAATATAGGACAAATTGAAATTCTTATAAGGTATAGAAGACCCATATCCACTTTTCTACTCAGAAAAAGAAGGATTCTCTTTTATTCTAAAGTTTAGGCTAGCCCTTGGCAACATTTTGAAGTAGGCAAAGTTAATTACTGATATGGACCTAGCTTCTCTTCTTCTCTTTTTAATACTCTATCTCCTTGCTAAGGATTCCTACTTCCTTTTCTTAAACAGGCAACTGCTGTCTTTATGACATCACTCACAGTGAACCAGAGTTACTTTCTCCATGCTATACATACCCTACTCCTGTGTGACAGTCATTTCCAAAATTTTCTATCTAACCATATGACCTGGGACCCAATACCACAGGACCTACTCCCACAGCCTACCCTAGACTAATAAATGAATCTATGCTAAGTATTAATGAGTAATTTATACAAACTTTCATTCATTCAGCCAATAGTTATTGAATGTAAGCTAGATGCTGGGCATTGCTGATATAATATCCAAGAGAGACAAAGTCTTTGCCCTCACAGCGCTTACATTTTAGTAGAATCTAATGCTTCTAGCAAGTCTAATGTGTGAATTAAATCTCCTCTCTTGGTAAGTTATCTAATTTTAAGAGAAACTCTAATATATGTAGTGCCTTAGACATTAGTTTCTGGAACTATGGGAGGCTGGTGGGAAAGATATTTGAGGACACCGGTACATTTACATACCTTTTATAACACACCTCAAATATATGTAGATATTCCTGGCCAAAAATGTTCTATATATCTTAAAAGTTATTTATGTACATCAAGAGCAAATTGCATTCCTGACTGCCTTGTGCAAAATCAGAGTGCTGTGCCCATTCTTTTTTTTTTTTTTTTTTTTTTTTTTTGAGACAGAGTTTTGCTCTTGTTGGCTGGGCTGGAGTGCAATGGTGCGATCTCAGCTCACTGCAACCTCAGCCTCCCAGGTTCAAGTGATTCTCTTGCTTCAGCCTCCCGAGTAGCTAAGATTGCAGGCACCTGCCACCACGCACAGCTAATTTTTGTATTTTTCGTAGAGATGGGGTTTCACCATGTTGGCCAGGCTGGTCTTGAACTCCTGACTTCAGGTGATTCACCCGCCTTGGCCTCCCAAAGTGTTGGGATTACAGGCATGAGCCACTGCTCCTGGCCGCCCATTCTGTTAAGGAAGCTTCATTAATTTATATTCTAGAAAGAGTATTCACCAAAGGGTATCTCCTTTTTAATCATTTTCCTCTGATGAAGTAGTAACACAACTCATTAACTTTATCATGATTTAATATAAAAATTAAAGTAGTTTTATCACATAAAATTTTGTAATCAATCAATTGATCGATCTATTTACTATGTACTCAATATTATTGAATATTAATATATAAAGGCGATAAGAAATGAGGCAGATGGCAGACCTTTTTGTGCATTCCACTTAAAGAATTTCTGAACTGGAAAGGACCATTGTAGGTCTTTGACCTAGCCTCATTTGCCAATAAGAAACACCATAAGGCTCAGTGAACTAGAAAGAGCTGTCCAGAGTTTCCCAGCTGACTAATGGCCCAGTCTGAACCAGAATCCAGGCTTCTGCCTGCCAAGGTTTTGGCCTTGCCACTAGGCATATAGCCTACCTTTGGTTTTACAACATTACTTTTTGCCTCTTTAAAACCTTTTTTTATTTTTATTTTTTCACCATCTGAAGAGGATAATATTTGCCTCTTGAAGTGCTTGTTTTCTCCAGAGCAAGGAATGTGGCTTGCAGAAATAAAATTACAGGTCAAAATTTGGCCATAGGACTTGTGAGAGATCCTGAGTAAAAGTCTCCTTTCTGTTCTTTCCTGATTAGCCCCCATGGAAGTCTCAAATCTGAAGGTGACAAATGATGGCAGTTTGACCTCTCTAAAAGTCAAATGGCAAAGACCTCCTGGAAATGTGGATTCTTACAATATCACCCTGTCTCACAAAGGGACCATCAAGGAATCCAGAGTATTAGCACCTTGGATTACTGAAACTCACTTTAAAGAGTTAGTCCCCGGTCGACTTTATCAAGTTACTGTCAGCTGTGTCTCTGGTGAACTGTCTGCTCAGAAGATGGCAGTGGGCAGAACATGTGAGTCTTGGGCTCCAGAATGTTCCTTGGTTGCTCAAATCACTCTCTGATCCACCTTAAAATAGGACAAAATAAGTCAGCAGGAAAACTCCTTTCCCAATCTGAGAAGTGGAGCCTATGTAACTGAAGGTGTCTGTAGTATGGCCCATTCTTCTGAGTCACTTAGGCAACTGAGTTTGGATTTCTGAATGATCTGCATGTTGTTTCTGTCTTATGCTTTTTCATGTCACGTCACTTAAGTAGCATAAATGCATTAGCATTGATACCAGTATATAAAACATTTCTGATTCATTCTTACAGTGAGAACCAGTTAGCATTTAACCATGTTTTCCATACATTATTTTATTAATTTATGTCCTCACTTATCTATCCAGTGCCTTATATATGTAAATTACTGTACTATTGTTAAAACGACTAAGACATGCTACTTGCCTTTAAGGCAGGATCCAGCAGACTACCCCATCTGGTGCCAAATCTGGTCTGTGGCCTGATTTTGTTTAGCCCTCAAGCTAAGAGTGGTTTTTACATGTTTAAAGGGTTGTACAAACAAATAAGGAAACAAACAAGAAAAAGATGAGACAGAGACCATATGTGTCCTGCAAAACCTGAAATATTTACTACCTGATCCTTACAGAAAAAATTGTCCAACTCCTGCTTTAGAAAACTTTCATTTTAATCACACAGATGTGGAATACACACATGTACAAAAATAAAAATAGTACATTTTAATAATAGTGACTGTATTGATATTTGCATGTATCAGGCACTGACTAAATAATTTATATCCATTATTTCATTTAGTTCTCACAACAAAACTGTGAGAGATGTCTTGTTATTTATTACCATTATACAGATAATTCAAAGAGGTCAAATAATTTGTCCATAGTCATCCAGCCAGTAAGTGGTAGAGCTAGAATTTAAACCAGGCTATTTGATTCCAGAGTCCATTCTCTCTGCTATTAGAGATCTGAAGTAAGAGATATATGGTCAAAAAGGAAAGATAAAATTTTCTTTCATAAGAGCAGTAAAAACTTGGAGGAAATGGGAGCAGGGTGCGGTGGCTCATGGCTATAATCCCAGCACTTTAGGAGGCTGAGGTGGAGGGTTGCTTGAGCCCAGGAGTTTGAGACCAACCTCAGCAACATAATGAGACCTCGTCTCTACAAAAAAAAAAAAAAAATTAATTAGCTGGGCATGGTGACATGTGCCTGTGGTCCTAGCTACTCAGGAGGCTGAGCTGGGAGGATTGCTTGAGCCCTGTGGTTGAGCCATGATTGCATCACTTCACTCCAGCCTAGCAATAGAGTGTGACCCTGTCTCAAAAAAAAAAAAAAAAAAAAACTTGGAGGAAATAGAAATGATCTTTAATAAGGACCTAAAAAATGTAACGTTTGTGACAAAGAGGGAAAAGAGGGAAGAGCTTTTGGGGTGGAGGGGACAAAATAAGCAAAGGCCCAGAGGCAGAAGGGCCCAGGAGACTTGCAGGTCTACAGAACATACAACCGGAAGCCAGCTTTCCAAAGGGTAGGGAAGGAGAGAGGATGGCTTCAGAAAGTAGTCTCAGTTAAGACTGGAAGGATATGGGGTCTGAACTTAAAGAGCCAAAAATGTAAGCAGAGGGCTTGACATTTTATTCTGCAGATTATAGAGAGACCTTGAATGTTTTTAAGCAAAAAAAAAAAAAAAAAAAAGAACTTAATCTTGCAAGAACATTAATCTTTTTAGTTGGAAAAGAAAGAAAGGAATGCCTCATGATCACGACATCCAATATCTCTTACAAAGGATGCCACATATCACTAGATTATTAACACTACAACAGAAGATTACATTACTGATATCACTAAAATGATTTTAGCGGACATTTCTTGTGTGTCAAATGTCTCCGAAATAAAGAACACTCATTTGCAATCCACAGACATCAAGAGGGGATAGAAATGTTTTGAACTGCAGATATTGTGTCTCCTATCTACTGCTGCCCAAGAAAAGTAAATGAGTATCCTTACTTTTGGTCTGTAATATCTCCTTTTTGACATCATTTCACCGTTTAGTTCCAGACAAAGTTGCAAACCTGGAGGCAAACAATAATGGCAGGATGAGGTCTCTTGTAGTGAGCTGGTCGCCCCCTGCTGGAGACTGGGAGCAGTATCGGATCCTACTCTTCAATGATTCTGTGGTGCTGCTCAACATCACTGTGGGAAAGGAAGAAACACAGTATGTCATGGATGACACGGGGCTCGTACCGGGAAGACAGTATGAGGTGGAAGTCATTGTTGAGAGTGGAAATTTGAAGAATTCTGAGCGTTGCCAAGGCAGGACAGGTAGGCAAATATGAAGATGTTAATACCAATGGAAGAGTAATTTGTTCCCTCTCCCAGGTAACCCAGGTAACTGCCGTAACTGCTAATATCATACCCTGGTGTTTTCTGAATTTGAGATATTAAGGACTTTAAGGCTAACATGGGGTTTCTAACACCTAATTTGTCAAATTAGAACATTTAAAATCACTTCCACTAGTAACTCCATTATTTCATGAAAGAAAGCCATTTCAAACACCAAAAGAGTAAGATGCATACATTCTGAAAACAAACACTGACCCTTCCCACAAAAGAAGAACCTTTTGCTAGTGATCAGCATTAGGGAACCATTGCCTTGACCTCATGTTGACTAATGTGGGGATTTCAGGTACCAATGAAGAGTGATTAAAGTGGAGAGGGATATATTTGGATTTTAGGGAAGGGAAGAATAAGGATACTGAAATGAGAAAACAGGCTCAAAGAGGTTATAACTTGCCCAAAGCTTTGCAATATAATCGTGACAGCAAGAATACCAAGACTCATGTTTCAGTATCCTCATACTGTCAAATACTTGTACTCATATTGTCAAATAAGAGAGTTGCACTTCCAAGTTCAACATTTGCTTGATAATCCTTGTAATGTGAAATACTCCATATTTAGAGTGAAATTCAAATACCTTCTTTCTTAGTTCGCCTGATAATAGGGAAATAACTACATGGATTCACTGTTCTTCTTAGAACAATGTCAAAGAAAAGGATCATGACACCCACTTAGCTTGCCAATGTGTCTTGCAGTAATCTCCTCATCTTCCAAATATTAATATCCACTGGATGATGATCAAAGACCTACAGAGCTTAAACTAAGCGACTTTTAGTATTTCACAGGACAAGCATCTCTGTCATCTCCAATATTTTATCACTCACCTCAAATAACTTGGAAATGGAAGATCACAGAACATTAGGGGCTCTCAGCATGTCAGCATAATTCTCAGGAGAACTTTTATTTATTTATTTATTATTTTTACATTTTGAGACAGAGTCTTGCTCTGTCTCCCAGGCCTAGGCTGGAGTGCAGTGGTACAATCTCGGCTCGCTGCAACCCCCACCTCCTAGGTTCAAGCAATTCTTGTGCCTCAGCCTCCCAAGTATCTGGGATTACAGGCGTGTGCCACCAGGCTCAGCTAATTTTTGTTCTTTTAGTAGAGACAGGATTTTACCATGTTGGCCAGGCTGGTCTCAAACTCCTGGCCTCAAGCAGTCCGCCTACCTTGGCCTCCCAAAGTGCTAGGATCACAGGCACAAGCCACGGCGCCAGGCCAAACTTTTGTTTTTCTTTTTCTTTCTTTTTTATTTTTGAGATAGAGTTTCACTCTTGTTGCCCAGGCTGGAGTGCAATGGCATGATCTTGGCTCGCTGCAACCTCTGCCTCCCAGGTTCAAACGATTCTCCTGCCTCAGCCTCCCAAGTAGCTAGGATCACAGGCATGTGCCACCACACCTGGCTAATTTTGCATTTTTAGTAGAGATGGGGTTTCACCATATTGGCCAGGCTGCTCTCAAACTCTTGACCTCAGGTGATCCACCCGCCTCAACCTCCCAAAGTGCTGGGATTACTGGCATGAGGCACTGCACCCGGCCCAAACTTTTCTTAAACTGTGTCTCTGGTTCACCTTATTCAGGTAACTTGAAGTAGGCCTCGATGTAAATAATCAAATTATTTCTCTATACCGAAGAAGGAAGATGGAGAGTTAGGGACTCAATTAGAATGGATTTATAGAAAATTTATGGATGCAAAATTTACAAGAAAATTTTTAATACTTGATTCTTTCATAATTTAAGGCAGCAACACTTTATTCTTTTCTTTTCTTTTCTTTTCTTTTTTTTTTTTTTTTTTGAGACAGAGTCTTGCTCTGTTGCCTAGGCTGGAGTGCAGTGGCACCATCTCAGCTCACTGCAACCTCCACCTCCCCCACTTAAGCAATTCTCATGCCTCAGCCTCCCGCTGAGACTACAGATGTGAGCCACCACGCCCGGCTAATTTTTGTATTTTTAGTAGAGATGGAGTTTTGCCATATTGGCCAGGGTGGTCTCAAACTCCTGACCTCAAGTGATCCACCCGCCTCGGCCTCCCAAAGTGCTGGGATTACAGATGTGAGCCACCGCACCCAACCAACAGTTTATTCTTAATGTCTCCTAGAAATTTTAACAATAAAACCTTTTAAAGGAATCAATTTTGAGATAAGTCCTCAATTAAATGCTATTATTGCCAGCCAACTCGCCCTTCCATGAACACATCAGTGTCCCCCACCTCAGAAATGAGGGAAAGTTGCACTTGGTCTCCTCAACCTATGGGGGTAACAAATACTCCTAACTCCACCTAAATACTTAAACAGGAACTTTTCTTTGTGATTTTGTGAATGACAAGATTGGAGTAAATATTTTTGTATTACAGAATTCATACAAAAAGATAAACTCAAAGTATTATACAGTCAAAAATCAATGACTCTTCTGGCAAGATGTTTTCTAATTGAGTCTGTATTTCTGGTTACATTACATGAACAAAGTTTTTTGTGATAAGATTTTGTTTTAATGCTCAGAGACATTCATAAAATAAATGTTGAACTGAAACACGCTTAAGGATGGAAGAGGAGAACTATCAAAAGTATACCCTATGAATATGCCTCAGTCCATCAATGACCCATCTCCATTGCTTTTTCCTCAGTCCCCCTGGCTGTCCTCCAGCTTCGTGTCAAACATGCCAATGAAACCTCACTGAGTATCATGTGGCAGACCCCTGTAGCAGAATGGGAGAAATACATCATTTCCCTAGCTGACAGAGACCTCTTACTGATCCACAAGTCACTCTCCAAAGATGCCAAAGAATTCACTTTTACTGACCTGGTGCCTGGACGAAAATACATGGCTACAGTCACCAGTATTAGTGGAGACTTAAAAAATTCCTCTTCAGTAAAAGGAAGAACAGGTAGTAACCTTTATAAATTTTACATTTTAAAGTGTTCTGTCTGCTGAATTACTATTTAACATGCAATTTACAAGTATTCATTAACTGCCTATTATGTACTGGGCATTGCTTTATGGATCCTTTCTATTGTGTTTGTTTTCTATTTTACCAATTGCAGTTCTTATCTTTATTAGTTCCTTCTTTTTACTTTGCTTGGATTTAGTTTGCTAAACTTGAAAAAGAGTAAAGAACAACCGTTTCAAGGAGTTTTGCTGTAAAGGAGAGCAGAGAAATAGGGCAGCATCTAGAAGAGGAACTATGGTTGAAAGGAGGATGATTTTTTAAAGGCAGAAGAAATAACAGCATGTTTTATGCTGGAGGGAATGATCTAGAAGATGTAGAAGGGAAATCATGATGATGTAAAGTGAGAGGGAAGAATTGCTGCAGTTATTCCATGAGTAGGCAAGAGGTATTGGGATCTAGAGCACAAGTGAAGGAATTGGCTTTAGAAAGGAGCATGGGGAATCTAATCTCAATGTCAGCTGGTATATTAGTCTGTTTTCACACTACTATAAAGATCCTACCCAAGACTGGGTAATTTATAAAGGAAAGAGGTTTAATTGACTCACAGTTCCACATGACTAGGGAGGCCTCAGGAAACTTATAATCATGGTGGAAGTTCAGTTAGAATGGCGATCATTAAAAAGTCAAGAAACAACAGGTGCTGGAGAGGATGTGGAGAGATACGAACACTTTTACACTGTTGGTGGGACTGTAAACTATTTCAACCATTGTGGAAGACAGTCTGGCAAATCCTCAAGGATCTAGAACTAGAAATACCATTTGACCCAGCCATCCCATTACTAGGTATATACCCAAAAGATTATAAATCATGCTGCTATAAAGACACATGCACACGTATGTTTATTGCGGCACTATTCACAATAGCAAAGACTTGGAACCAACCCGAATGTCCATCAATGATAGACTGGATTAGGAAAATGTGGCACATATTACACCACAGAATACTATGCAGCCATAAAAAAGGATGAGTTCGTGTCCTTGGTAGGGACGTGAATGAAGCTGGAAACCATCATTCTGAGCAAACTATCCCAAAGACAGAAAATCAAACACCACATGTTCTCACTCATAGGTGGGAATTGAACAATGAGAACACTTGGACACAGAGTGGGGAACATCACACACCGGGGCCTGTTGTGGGGTCGGGGGTCGGGGGAGGGATAGCATTAGGAGACATATCTAATGTAAATGATGAGTTAATGGGCACAGCACACCAACATGGCACATGTATACCTATGTAACAAAACTGCATGTTGTGCACAGGTACCCTAGAACTTAAAGTGTAATAAAATTAATTAATTAATTAATTTTTAAAAATCATGGTGGAAGGTGAAGGGGAAGCAGGCACCTTCTTCACAAGGTGGCAGGAGGGGAAGTGATGGAGATGAAAGGGGAAAGAGCCCCTTATAAAACCATCAGATCTTGTGAGAAATCACTCACTAACACAAGAACAGCATGGGGGAAACCACTCCCATGATCCAGTCACCTCCCTCCTTGGACACATGGGGATTACAATTCAAGATGAGATTTGGGTGGGGACACAGAGCCAAACCGTATCAGCTAGGAAAGAGAGAATATGTGGGTGCAGATGCCAATAGGTGGATCGTTGTAGGGTGAGCAGTTATCTTCTAATTGCTTTCATTTTTTTCAGTGTAATTGGAAGCAAAGTCATCAAGATTTCCCTTTTTAGTTGGACGCCGTGGCTCACATCTGTAATCCCAGCACTTTGGGAGGCCGAGATGGGTGGATCTTGAGGCCAGGAATTCAAGACCAGCCTGGCCAACATGGCAAGACACTGTCTCTACTAAAAACACAAAAATTAGCTGGGAGTGGTGGCACATACCTGTAATCCCAGATACTCGGGAGGCTGAGGCATAAGAATCACTTAAACCCAGGAGGTGGAGGTTGCATGAGTCGAGATCCTGCCACTGCACACTAGCCTGGGTGATAGAGCGAGAACCTGCCTCAAAAAAAAAAAAAAAAAGAAATTTCTTTTTTCAATGTATATACTATTGTCCTGTATCTTATTTTTCTCTCCTCTTTTGATCCCACAAAAATATAATTATTGCTTTATATAGTCAACATCTGTTTAGATTTACCTACCAATTTACTACCTTTTTTCTCATTTTTTCCCCCTGCATCTGAGATGTTTTATCTGGGATTATTTTCCTTTATCCTGGAGAACGTTATTCAAATTTCTTCATTGAGAGTTTCTAGGGACAAACTCTCTCAAATTTTGTTTTTGCTGGGCATATTTTTATATAGCTCTCATTTTTATATAGCTCTCGGTCTTGAAAGATATTTTCCTTAAGTTCCAACTCTGTGTTTAAAGTTACTTTCTCTCAGCACATAAAAGATATTATTCTAGTCTTTCTGGGATTTATTGTTGCGCTGAGTCAGCTGTCAGTCTGATTTTTATTTCTCTATGAGTCTGTTTGCTATGACTGCTTTTTTGCCTTTGGGGTTCAGTTGTTTCACAATAATGATCAAGGTGTAGATATATTTCTTTTTGTTTCTCTTGCTCAAGATTGATTGGCATTTCTGTACTTTCCAACTAGTGTCTTTCTACAATCCTGGAAATTCTCAGCTATTAACTCTCTAATATTGCCTCTTGCCCCTTCTCCATTCCCCACTCTGTCATCTTCTGGTATTCTAGAACACACATATATGAACACATCAATATATTTCATATTTTCCATGTGTTTTCTCTCTGAACTACAGTATAGGTAACTTTCTCATATCTTTGATTCATTTCATTAATTCTTTCTTCAGCTTTGTCTAATCTATTTTAAAATCTACCCACTGTTTTAAATTTTAATTGTTATGTTCACTTTTAAGCATTCTCTTTGGCTCTCTTTCAAATTTATGTTGTGCTCTGTTGCTCTTTAGTTATATTTTCATTCCCCTCCTGTATTGTTATATGCAAATTAACAATGTTTATTTTCCATCCTATGTCTGATAATTATAATAGCTGAAATCTTCAGGAGTTAAGTTCTGTTGTCTTTTGATTTTCCTGCCTTTTGTTTATGTTGCTTTATTTCTTTAAATGTATGTGATTTCTTTTTACTGTAAGCCTGTTTTCCCTAGAATTTTATTCTGTGGAAATTATTTAAGGCCATGTTTGAAGGTGAGTTTCAGAAAGAATTTTCATTTGATTCTTTCAGGTGCACAAGACTGCTATCAAACCAGACCTACTTTAATCTAAATTGTCAACTTTAGGTTCTTTGATCACCTGGGTTTTATAAATTCAGGTTGCAAACACATTGAAACTATCTTAAGGTTATGAGTTCTCAGAGGAAATCGTTTTCTCCATCCAGTATTAAGAAGGCTGAAGTTGTATGGGGAGTAAAGAGAGACTATTTATTTCACTTATACTTAGAATGTAGCCTTTCCAATGTTATGCAAGGTCAGCTATGAGTTTCTTCAGCCTGGAAAAATCTACACTTTACCTCCTTTCTCCAATATCCTGCAGTGCTATAAAATCAAAGCTTACATTTGCATTTGAAAGGTGCTCTCAACACAACAGTTCGCTTTATGATCCAATTACCTCTCTATCCTTTACTTTTTGGCCTTTGAGAATCTCTTACATTCCTGACAAGTCATTCATTTACATTTTCACATTTTATCCAATATGTATAGTTGTGTTTATTAGAAGGATTTTCATGGTATCTAGCCTATCATACTGCCAGAAAGGGAAGTCCAAGACATTGTTTTAGACCTAAGGTCATTTTTATCATCCCCACCACCCATATTGCTGGGTCATATGGTAAATGCATGTTTAACTTTGTAGAAAACTGCCAAACTGCTTTCCAAAGTATTGTAAAATTTTACATTCCCACCAGCAATGTATGAAATTTCCACTTCCTCCGTGTTCTCAGCATGTAGTACATGGTATTAGCAGTTTGTTTTAAAATTTAGCCATTCTAATGGAATAGCCATTATAATAAGATAATGATAGCTCATGTGGTTTTAATTTGCCTTTTTCTAATGTCTAATGGGTTTGAGAATCCTTTCACAAGCTTATTTGTCACCCATTTATCTTTTCTGGGGAAGTTTTTGTTCAAATATTTTGCTGGATTTTAAAATAGGATTGTTTGTTTGTCCTTGGTCAAAATGTTTTCTGTCGGTTTTTCATTTTGATGTCCAATTTATCAGTTTTTTTCTTTCATAAATCATGCTGTGGTGTCATATCTAAAAATATTTGCCTAAATCAAGGTCACAAAGGTTTTCTCCTAGAAGGTTATAGTTTTAGGTTTTAAATGTAGGTCTGCGACCCATTTTGAGTTAATTTTTATATATGATGTGAGATATAGGTGAAGGTTTTTTTCTTTGCATATAGACATCTGATAATTCTACCTCTATGTATTGAAAAGACTATCTTTTCTCCATGAAATTGCCTTTGAATCTCTAAAAAATCCATTGATAGCATATTCTTCTATCTCTGGGCTCTCAATTCTGTTCTATCAATCTATGTTTCTGTCTGCCCTTTGCCAGTATTATCCTGTCTTGATTACAAGATTTTTAGTGAAATCAGGTGGTGTTAGTCCTCTAACTTTATTCATCTTTTTCAAAATTGCTTTGGCCACTGTAGCTGTTTGCCTTTCATATAAAATTTAGAATTATAATTGAATCTTTAGAATTGAATCTGATCCATATACAGTAGGATTTTTTTAATGAACGCTTTTGTATCTTAATCCAGAAGTCAATGAACTTTGAGAAAGAGGGGTGCCAAGGTTCCAGTCCCTTTGATTATTGTAATTCAGGAAAGAGGCACAAAGAAGAATGTATGTTGACCAAGTGCCAACTTCAAGATCTGTGTATAAGATTTGTTAAATGATAAGTTGGAAGAAATAAATGTTGTTAATTAGGAAAAGGACACAGGCTTAGGGGTTAGATAAATCTAGCTTTCAGTTCCAGGTTGGCTATTTGTTAGCACTGTGATATAGGCTAAATTACTTACATTTTATGATCCTTGGTTTCCTTGTTAATAAATGGAATAATAAAGTCAACTTTATAGAGTTCTGAATGGGTGTCAAATAATGTAACCTTTATGAGACATATAGCTCATAACTGGCACATAGTAGGCCTTCAGTAGTTGTTGTTATTATCATTATTTTTTAATATATATATTATAATTTATATTATTATCACATGTTCATGTATAATAACAGCCCCTTTAAGAATGTGCCAGTATAGAACTAATCAGTTTGCTAGACCATAATCAACAGACTGAAGGGAATTCCCAATACCACCCCATAACAATCATTGGCTCAGGTAGATTAGATAGCTTTGAATTCTCATGGGGTAAGGACAGATAAAATCACATTAACTAAGCAGTTTTCAAAAATAGCAGCCTTCATTATCTAAAATTTAAAATCAAAACCACTTAATAAGCATGCATCATCTCATCTTTGGATCTTAAATAATTTTGATTCCCTATATAAGCAGCTTTTTCAAAGTACTAGAGCCTCTCTAGAGGAGTAGTTCTCCATATGCCACAGGAAATAGAACTGAGAGTCTATAGCAACAACACAAAAATTATTTTTAGTACTTTCAAGTCTGTCTCCATTTTTTGACTCATTTTTCTTACACTTTCTTAAGGTGACTAAGTGTCATTTGTTTTTTCTTCTGTCTACTGTTTTAGTGCCTGCCCAAGTGACTGACTTGCATGTGGCCAACCAAGGAATGACCAGTAGTCTGTTTACTAACTGGACCCAGGCACAAGGAGACGTAGAATTTTACCAAGTCTTACTGATCCATGAAAATGTGGTCATTAAAAATGAAAGCATCTCCAGTGAGACCAGCAGATACAGCTTCCACTCTCTCAAGTCCGGCAGCCTGTACTCCGTGGTGGTAACAACAGTGAGTGGAGGGATCTCTTCCCGACAAGTGGTTGTGGAGGGAAGAACAGGTAAGAAGTAGAGATATGTGTCTGTGACTTAACTAAGATCTGAGTACATGAGACCCCTAATCAGAATATTATAGAAATATCCTAAAATCAGACTCATCCCTGGCCTTTACAAAAGCTAAGTTTCACAAAAGCTAGCCATCCAGAAGGTATATGGAATGGAAATTGGGCGATGGGTGATGGCAAGAGAGAATAAATTCTGATTTTTTTTTTTTTTTTTGAGACGGAATTTCGCTCTGGTTGCTCAGGCTGGAGTGCGATGGCGTGATCTCGGCTCACCGCAACCTCCGCCTCCTGGGTTCAGCAATTCTCCTGCCTCAGTCTCCCGAGTAGCTGGGATTACAGGCGTGTGCCACCACGCCCTGCTAACTTTGTATTTTTAGTAGAGACAGGGTTTCTCCACGTTGGTCAGGCTGCTCTCGAACTCCTGACCTCAGGTGATCCACCCGCCTCGGCCTCCCAAAGTTCTGGGATTACAGGCGTGAGCCACCACTCCTGGCTGAATATTTTAACATCTCCAATGAACATGTAAGAACTCCTCACTCGATGTCTAGACTTATCCCCCTATTCAGTTGATTTCCTTTGAAATGTTTATGTTCCAGTTAAGGTAAACAATAATGGATAAAAAACAAAACAAACCTCCCAAAGAAAGCATCTTTCACTCTTATATATTCTTGGTTTGCAAGACATAAAAAGAAAATGATCTCCAATTAATATGGTTAGAGGTGGAGTTGATCTAATTTTCAGGTCTCATATATTTTCATAAGCAACGTTAAACAAGTGCTTAATATGCTATCTAAACAATTTTTCTTGACCTTAATAGCTCCCTGTTAGAAAGCTAAGTAAACAAATAAGTGTCATTATGGTCATGTATGTCAGGGAGCCATGGCACCGAGGAAGAAATTACATAGAATTTTCTATGTAATACAATGAAAGAACATAAAAAATTAATATATATGATATATAAAATGTATGTTCATTTCTTAGAAAAAAATTACATAAACCCAATAGAAGCTTTGATAATTATTAGTGGGACCTTGTCTACTTAATTTTATATAATTATTTTAAGTTGGATTTCAGGCTTCTCCTTCTGCATCCTCAACACTCAAATTCTGTTTATCAGCTGCAGGCATCATAGATGCATCTCTTTCCAAAATCATGAATCTCATCTACTTAATGAACCCAGAGGACATTAACTTCATTAACTCTCCCAGAAGAACAATGAAGTCACTGAGAAGATGTTTCATAGTCTTGGTAGAAATTCACTGGTGTATGCCCATTTCCCTCATTCTATGACAGCTGACATTGTCACTTGCATGTTTCTTTTTTTTTTTTTTTTTTTTGAGATGGAGTCTCATTTTGTCGCCAGGCTGGAGTGCAGTGGCACGATCTTGGCTCACTGCAACCTCCGACTCCCTGGTTCAAGCGATTCTCCTGTCTCAGTCTCCCGAGTAGCTGGGATTACAGGCACGCACCACCACGCCCAGCTAATTTTTGTACTTTTAGTAGAAACAGGGTTTCAGCTTGTTGGCCAGGATGGTCTCGATCTCCTGACCTCGTGATCTGCCTGCCTCGGCCTCCCAAAGGGCTGGGATCACAGGTGTGAGCCACTGCGCCCGGCCTGTCACCTGCATCTTTCTCCCTGATATTTTCTTTCCTTTCTTTTAATGGTTCTTGGCACCATCCATTGGTGTAGCATACTTGGGGGTAGGTAGCTGAAAAGCTTAGCATGGAAATCAGGAGGCCTAGGTTTTGGTCCTAGCTCTGCCATTAACTTATTTCCCTAAGCTTCTGTGTTTTAATCCACACACAATAATTCACTCCTACCCTGGGTGTCAGAATAGGGAAGGAGAAATAATAAAGCTGAGGAGAGGAGTGGAGGACGACCTTGCATTCATTTCCCAGTGATTTGCAGTTGTATCAGTCACATTAGACTGATTTAATTCATGCTTAGACACTGTATAATGTGGGTGTTCATGATTGGATGCCTCTATTGGTTGGGATACAGTCTCCTACTATCAGTGGCTCTTCTTTGCTGTAGGTCCTCAGAGCTCTCCCCATTTCTCCAGAGAATGGAGGTTGGGGAGGGGTACAACTCATCAGACTTGGGAGTAGGCATTTCACTTCCACCCACATTCCACTGGCCAGAACTCAGTTACATGGCTACATCTGACTGCCTGGGAGCCTGAGAAATGCAGTCTAGCTGTGTGTCAAGAGGAAAAGGAAATGGTCGGGGAACCATATTCTGCCACACAGGTTGATTCTCATTTTATATACCACAAGGATTGTCCAACTTATTGTGAGCTACTAAAATAGTCTAGTCTGTGCTATCTCTTGAAATAACTGTGTACTTTAAGTAAGTGGGACTTAAAATTATTTTTATTTTTTAATTTATATTTTTATTTATATTTTAATTAGAATAAAGGTACAAGTATTTGACCCATATTATATAATAGAAGCATTCAAAAAAGGGAAAAAGGGACAAGAAATTATTTGAAGAATGGTCATAAAGTTTTGAGGAGAGAATCAAATATGAATAAATTGAGCACGAGTTATTTTACTCAAACATATGAAGAGTGCACATTATCACGATAAAGGGGAAAATGGGAGACTCCTGTAAAGCACAATAATAGGGATTTTGAAAGGTGCCTCTTTTAGTAAATTTTGTACACAGTCAATTGTAAAGAATTCAGTGGGTAAGGCCTTGATAATCCTTATCATCTCCTCAAATTGCTGAAACATTAGTCAATATTGAAATAATTTTGAAAGGTATTCTTATATTTCACCTGTTTCCACTGAGTTGAAACATATAAATAAACCCTCCCAGCCCAGATAAGATGGCAGAATATTTAAAATTAAAGATATTAGATATACTTAACAAATCTAATTCTAATCTGGGAAAATGCTCATCCTAAAGCAAAAACAAATTTTGTATCTATTTTTTCTTAAACATGTGAATCATATTTCTGTGAAAACTTTTGATAATTGTGTCTTTTCTAATAAAATGTTAGTAGTTGCAAATATTTCCAGCAGTTTTTAAAAACAAGCATAATGAGTTGCTTTTGAGAGCAACTAAAGGATGTATAGATGGTTGGATGGCAGAAGAAAGGAAGGAAAGAAAGCAAAAAGGAAGAAAAGAAGGAAAGAAAAGGAAGGAAGAGATGTACCAATATATAAATCTTCTGGCTAAAAAGTTCAACTTTATATCTAGGAAATGTCCATATATGTGGATCAACATTACCAGAGTTGTTCACTAGAATGCAGTTTATAATTTTTAGTGATGGATAAGTGCTTTTAAGTATAAGGTATGCTTTGGGGCTTAATTCACAAAGTCCGAACATATTACATTAGAAGGATTCTCAGAAGTCATCTAGCCAAATCCTGTCCATTATAAGTGATGTACTGATATTGACAATCATATGAAACTGTTAAGTTAATCAACTAATGATTAAAACAGTAGTGTAGTTCATATATACTGTAATATTTTAACCCTATATTCATTTATGGCAGTACTATTTAATGGGCACCTATTTCTGATATGTGGTTCAACTTTTACTCAATACTGCAATTACTAATTTGCTGACTATACCTCCAACCAGAGAACTTCTTGAAGACATTCATGCGTTTTTCATTTTTGTATACCTGGCAAATAGTAGGTTCTCAGTAAACGTTTGTGACACTAATCCCCAATTCATATAAGCAAATGATTATAGTTGACATCAGAAAACCCATTATCGCCATAACAGTTCTCTCTGCCCTTGGTTGGTCCAGCTTCCAGACTTCTTACTTCCAAGATAGGTTTTTAGGCTTATTTCTTACCACTAGAGGGCAGGAAATGCCTTGCAAAGGGAAAACGGTCCCTCTGGTTGTGTTAGCTATTACTTCCCAGGAATGAATAACTTCATCACAAAAAAATTGAAGCTATCCCAGTTTAAGGTCTTTAGAAAAGCTATCGTATTCTTCCCCTTTCCACTCAAACATTTTTGCTTTATTGGTAAGTTTGGTTCAAGTTGATTCATTTAGATTGTTGAAATATTTGTTCCCTTTCTTACAGGGAACCTTCTAAAACATTGTATAAGGATGTCTCCACTTGAAATGCTTTACAAACAGCAACCCCATAAAAATGCAGTAGTGGCATCCTTGTATTTACGAGGCATCCCAAAGGCCTCCGGACATTTTTATTTTGATTAGTTTTCTGATGTAAGAACACTCAGCTTCTGGAAGCTGAGTGAAATCCTCACGCTTCCTTGACCTCTTATATAATCAGATTAGATCTCCTGAGTGAGTCCACGGTTTGTGCTGACTGCAATAGACGACTCAAACTTTTGACTGTGTCTTTCTTTTTGAATCCCCCTTCCCCCCCCCCCCCGCCCCCCACCTTTCAAAATCACAGTCCCTTCCAGTGTGAGTGGAGTAACGGTGAACAATTCCGGTCGTAATGACTACCTCAGCGTTTCCTGGCTGCTGGCGCCCGGAGATGTGGATAACTATGAGGTAACATTGTCTCATGACGGCAAGGTGGTTCAGTCCCTTGTCATTGCCAAGTCTGTCAGAGAATGTTCCTTCAGCTCCCTCACCCCAGGCCGCCTCTACACCGTGACCATAACTACAAGGAGTGGCAAGTATGAAAATCACTCCTTCAGCCAAGAGCGGACAGGTAAGGCTGTATGAAGGTTCAGGGCTCCGTAAGAACCAATTCACATGTGGCTCAGGGCACCACAGAGCTGTAGCAATTCTGTAATGATGGGATGAAAGGCCCTTGAGATCACAAAACTGTTATGAAGTCTTCGTATTTTAACCCAAGAAACTCCTTATGTGAGCAGACCCTGTGTGACTAGAATTTATATTATATTCAAATAGTGAAAAAAGTGTTCCCGTTTATGGAGTACTTTTTGGTTGCTAGGGCCTGGCTTTATATATCTTAACTATAACTAACCCTTATGAACTCCTTATTGAGGTAGTCATTGTTATTATTCCCATTTTACAGATCAGGAAACCAAGGTTCAGGGAGGTCAAGTAACTCGCCCAACTGTTTACCTTGTTAAACAGCCAGTGTGTTTCAGATCCTGGTTTTAAACCCAGTTCTGAATGACTCCAGTGCCTACAAAGCTCTCCATCCTAAAATCCATCCTGAAATGTCTGTTGGTCAAAACCACTATTCATCCTTTTTCACACAAGGTGAAAATGTGAACCTTTATGGTTCTGGGACTAGGGAGCAAAAATCTTAGCAAAGGAAATGAATGTTCAGTCCAATGTGCTGGAAAGAATTAAATTTAAATAGCTACCATTTTCCCAATATATTTATGCTTTCTGGGGTTTATACCTGAGATTTCTGCTTAAGGTTGGCATCAATACATTGTCAAATGTTTCCTACTAAGCTATGGGTTGATTTCTGTATTTTAAAATGTCAGTTTTTCCATGAGGTTCTGAGACAATTGTCCTTATCCTGTTACCTAGCGCAGGACCTGGGGCTTAGTAGGCACTCAGTAAATACTTGGCAAAGGAATAATCAGAAATCACTTAGATCAGGGGTCCCACCTGGGAGTCCATGGTTCATGGGAGACTTTAGGAATGTAGTAACCCCTGAAATTGTTTATGAGGTTGCTGGGGATAGGAAAGGTATATGCATTTCTTTGAGAAGAAACAGTCCATGGCTTTTATCAGATTCTTATGGTTTCTGTGACCTCCAAAAAGCTAAGAACCTCTGATTTATATTGTTACAGGATGCTGACATTGAAGGGGTCCTTAGAATGATCTAATCCTGTTTCCTCATTTGGATATAAAGGAAGTCCCAGAGAAGGAGTGTGGCTTCTCCAGGGTTGCAGGGCTGACTGGTAGTGGAGTTCAGTCTAGCTCCAGTGCTGTCCATTCCATCATGCTGTATCCGAGAGCACTAGTCAGGGATATAAAGAGATTATCCCTACCCTTGAATAATTTGAAGCCCAATTACACTGACAATCACAATAATGACTTAGATCTGAAAAGCAGATTTCTATTTACAAAGCAGTCTTATGTCAGGGTCTCATATTGATCAACTTGGAGCCTAAAAATCACCAGAAATTAAAGGATGTGTTACCTAACTACCAACCCCTTGCTTCCTACCAATGTCAATTCATGATGATTTCCTATCCGTATGACTTTAATATTGCCAAGTCTTTTGCTGAGATTGTTTTAAAATGCAAGAAAGTGATTCTTTATTCAGTGCATCCTCTTGACTCCTTGACCGGCATGAACTTGGACTTGGTACACGACTAATGGAGGCAAATCATTGCCCCTGACAAATCAGTTTAACTGGAGGGTCATGTCTGAGTTGTTCTCTTGATGATTTTGGCTGATTATCTTAATGCCCTTTTCCATTTCTGATGCTCTTGTTCTACATTTTGGGTGAAAATACCAATATTTCTAATTCTGTATCACATCATCTCACTGTGTAGCAAGGCAGGTCTCCACAAATTACCCCGTTCCACCTGGAGAGCTCCTTATTGACTTAACGTGATATTCAGCCAGGTTTTTCTTCCTGTAATAGTTGCTTTGCCTTTAGCAAATTGCCTGGATCATTGACCTTTCTTAGCCCATGCATAAAATGCCACTTCATAATTTCCTCTCCTTAACTCTGTGATGACTGTATTCTAACAACACTGTAATTGGTTTTAGGTAAATATCTTGGAGAAAGCATATCTGTCCTTGCTCCATATCTGTGGTGAGCTATATTCCAAACACTAATCAGTAAACACAAGGCAACAAAGGATGCTAATGCAACTTGCAGGTGTGAGAAAATGGAGCTTCCATGCCAAAATACTGAAATTTCTGGATCATTTCATGATTTGAGAAAAAGTAGAGGTGAAAAATTGGACACAGCCTTGGCATGTGGTCAGATCAGAAACCCCTAATATATACCAAATACAGAGGACATGCTAGTATTAGGACAAGAGTTTAGTACCCTGGATCCGAGTTCATGCCTCTTTTCAATGCTCCTCCTCATTAATATGTATAATGTCCAGTTACCGTGAAATAGTAATGAATCTGTGGCCTACTGTTGAATTAAAATTCAGCCCCAAATGGAAAAATGAAATCTCCTTAATATCATGCTCTAAATACAGAATTGCCTTATTCCACAGTGTTCCTAAGTAACATGCATATATTTATTTACTGGTTGGGGAGGGGACCACAGATATACAGAATGGTTTCGTTCATATATTAGAAAGAACCTCACATGCACAAAATTGTATTAATCATAATTCTTGGTTCAAGAAACCATGCATCCCCAGCACTTTGGGAGGCCGAGGCGGGAGAATCATGAGGTCAGGAGTTTGAGACCAGCCTGGCCAACATGGTGAAATCCCATCTCTACTAAAAATACAAAAAATTAGCTAGGTGTAGTGGCAGGCACCTGTAATCCCAGCTACTTGGGAGGCTGAGGCAGGAGAATCGCTTGAACCAGAAGGCAGAGGTTCCAGTGAGCCAAGATCGCACCACTGCACTCCAGCCCGGGCAAGAGAGTGAGATTCTGTCTCAAAAAAAAAAAAAAAAAAAGAAAAGAAAAGAAAAAAGAAACCATGCATCAACTGCCACCTTTACTTTTTAGGCATCTAGTTAGTAATTTTTGATAATTTAACATGTACACAAGAAACCAACCAGTACCTAAAATAAAAGCTAGGACCTTGACAATAACCTACATCAAAGTATGTGGTCCCCACCTCGTGAATTCACTCAAAGGTAGCCAACATCTTGACTCCTATGTTCACCTCTCCCTTGCTTTCCATCTTGCATAGTTTTATTGCATTTATATACAGGCCTAAAATTATGGGTTTCAAAATTTTTTGTTGTTTTTAACATTATTTAAAAAGGTATTTTTAATGTAGTATTTAATATCTTAGGGACTTAGATGTTTTACTTATTATACAGGTAAGATTCATCCATATTTTGTATTTTGATGTTAAGGACAAGAAATCCATATTTTTGTGTTTTGAGTTAAGGAATTAATTATAACTATTATATAATATTTCACTGTGTGTGTGTATGTGTGTATATGTATGTATTCATTATCCAGTCTCCTGTATATATTCTTCTACACGTGGTTTTTATATAGTTTTTTAATTTTGCCAGTCAAATGGATGTAAAACAGTATTTCACTGTGGTTTTGACTTGCATTTCCTTGATCACCAGTGATGTGGAAAATCTCTTCATTTATTATGCAAATAACCATATGTGTTTCTTCTTCCATTTTTCTTTTTCCTTTTCTTTTCTTTTTTTTTTTTTTTTTATGAGATGGAGTCTTGCTCCATCACCCAGGCTGGAGTGCAGGGGCATGATGTGATCTTGGTTCACTGCAACCTGTGCCTCCTGGGTTCAAGTGATTCTTCCATCTCAGCCTCCCGAGTAGCTGGAACTACAGGTGTGCACCACCATGCCCAGCTAATTTTTGTATTTTTTAGTAGAGACGGGGTTTCACCATGTTGGCCAGGCTGTTCTCAAACTTCTGACCTCAAGTGATCTGCCCTCCTCAGCCTCCCAAAGTGTTAGGATTACAGGTGTGAGCCACCATGCATAGCCTCATTTTTTTGAGGGGGGCGGGTTGGGGGATTGCTTATATTCTTCTTAGTAACTTTTGAGTCAGCAAGGTATGTTGGAATTATCTATATCGTTTACCATCACTCATATTAATCATCAGCCATCATGTTTAATGTTCCATCTTATACATGACACTTTGTGCAGGCAAACAGCAGGCTTAGAATGAGTTCATCAGCTTCTGTTAAAAGATCCGTTTAATCACTCCACATAGTGTAACAATCTTTCCCCTCCAGAAATTTGTAACCTAAGGTCTAAGATTTTTCTTTTAAATGCACACAATAATAATCTACTCTCTCTTTTTATTGTCCCAGCTTGTCATCTGTGATCAATTACTCACTCAGAATTCATAAATATTTAGTTACTCTCTGTTTCCTTTTCAGTGCCTGACAAAGTCCAGGGAGTCAGTGTTAGCAACTCAGCCAGGAGTGACTATTTAAGGGTATCCTGGGTGCATGCCACTGGAGACTTTGATCACTATGAAGTCACCATTAAAAACAAAAACAACTTCATTCAAACTAAAAGCATTCCCAAGTCAGAAAACGAATGTGTATTTGTTCAGCTAGTCCCTGGACGGTTGTACAGTGTCACTGTTACTACAAAAAGTGGACAATATGAAGCCAATGAACAAGGGAATGGGAGAACAAGTAAGTGGAACGATTGCAAAATCTGACAGTTGGTTGGACTTGAAAGTCTCTAGTAATTTATCTGAACCTTGAATTTTTTCTGCTTATTCATTAGTACATTACATTCCCAGTAAGTCTCACTTGGTGCTAACATCATTCAGCCAAGCCATGGCCTATAATTACAGAATATTTATTGGTAGATAAAAGCAAACATAGTGAGGGAGCAAGAAGGCTAAATGTCCCATTTTTCTTCCCTATCTTCCTGCATCATGGCATTTAGATTCTAGACTTCTTGTTTTATCTTATGATTGAGATCATAACTCATTTTATAATTATGTTCTACCAATGCTGATCATGTAACATTTATGTCAGGAAAAAACCACAATGTTAATAGTTGCTTCCAATTTTTCTTGTTTAATTATGCATGAAGTAGTGCTAGTGGTTTATTTGGGGAAGGGAGATGTTGCCAGTTCCTTGAATGTGATTCATAAATTATTATGTAGGTAAACTCTGATCAGTTCCTTTCCTGAAATGTCTTCTCATTTTTCTCCCTAGTTCCAGAGCCTGTTAAGGATCTAACATTGCGCAACAGGAGCACTGAGGACTTGCATGTGACTTGGTCAGGAGCTAATGGGGATGTCGACCAATATGAGATCCAGCTGCTCTTCAATGACATGAAAGTATTTCCTCCTTTTCACCTTGTAAATACCGCAACCGAGTATCGATTTACTTCCCTAACACCAGGCCGCCAATACAAAATTCTTGTCTTGACGATTAGCGGGGATGTACAGCAGTCAGCCTTCATTGAGGGCTTCACAGGTAATGTGAAATACTGTTCTTGAACCTGAATAGATGCAGTGGTGCATTTAACTTTCGGGTAGTTCAGGTATTTCGATTGAGCATTTGGAGGGATAAAAGGGAGACAGCAAGAAGGGACAAAGTCATGTTGATAGTGACAATGATGTTGTCCAACCTGGATGAATGAAAATAAAGTATGATGTCAGCAGAGAGTGGCGGGGTTGGAGGGTGCTTTCAGAGAAATAGCAATGAACTGATGTGATCAGCTGGTGCTTCTGAGGCACACAGATTAAGAATTAAGTGTTACTTGGGTATCACTTCTTTAGAACTCTTTTAGGAGTGTTGCCATAGTAGTTAACATGTACTGACAGTTCACCATGAACCAGACCCACAGCAAAGCATTTTATGTCTACATCTTGTTCAGTCTTCACAATGCTTTGGAAGCCAAGGCAGGAGGATAGCTTGAGCCCAGGAGTTCAAGCACAGCCTGGGCAACATGACAAAACCCTGTCTCTACAAAAAATACAAAAAAATTAGCCGGGCACGGTGTTACGTGCCTGTAGTCCCAGCTACTGGGGAGGCTGAGGTGGGAGAATCACTTGAGCCCAGGAGGTATAGGATGCAGTGAGCCATAATCATGCCATTGCACTCCAGCCTGGACAACAGACAGAGACCCTACCTCAAAAATAAAATAAAATTAAATTAAAAAAGAATCAATCTTCACAACTCTATGGGCTGGTTAGTATTATCATCACTGCCATTTTTCCTAATGAAGAAACTAAAACTTACAGAGGTCAAGTAATTTGCCTGTAGTCCCACAGCTAGTGAGTGAGAAAACCAAAACTTGGACCAAGACACCCTAACTAGCCCCTCGCTATATAATTAGCATTCCTCATTTCCACTCACCGGCTTTGACTTCCCCCTAAGCTTTCCCCCATCAACTTTAGTTCACACAGAAAAATCAGAGAAAAGTGGCAAATTGTTACTTTCTTTTTCATGTGAGTTCTCTCAGTGGGTGCCAAAACATCAGAAGCATTCAAAACTTTGTTTGAAAATTTCAACAGTTCATTCTCTAAGTGATGACTTTTAAATTTATTTTCTGTTTTAGTTCCTAGTGCTGTCAAAAATATTCACATTTCTCCCAATGGAGCAACAGATAGCCTGACGGTGAACTGGACTCCTGGTGGGGGAGACGTTGATTCCTACACGGTGTCGGCATTCAGGCACAGTCAAAAGGTTGACTCTCAGACTATTCCCAAGCACGTCTTTGAGCACACGTTCCACAGACTGGAGGCCGGGGAGCAGTACCAGATCATGATTGCCTCAGTCAGCGGGTCCCTGAAGAATCAGATAAATGTGGTTGGGCGGACAGGTAAGCATCCACCTGGAGAAGGGCTAGATTGTAGAATGCCTCATGGTTCTCCAAAATGGGACAGTGAACGGGCTCAGCTATTCACAAATCCAGATTTAAAACCACCAAAGTTTGTACAATTCAATGGTTTCAAGAGCCTTACTCATTTATTCTTTGTATTTTTCTCTTAATAGAGATCTGCAAAACAAATGAAAGGGAATCAGAAACCAAATCATTTGAACACATTTTTATACTTGCTAAAGGATAATAAAATTTTAAATTTTAACAAGCAGGCTGGGCACAGTAGCTCACGCCTGTAATCCCAGCACCCTGGAAGGCCAAGGCAGGTAGATTGCTTGAGTTCAGGAGTTCGAGACTAGCCTGGGCAACATAGCTAAACCCCATTTCTACTAAAAATACAAAAAATTAGCCAGGCGTGGTGGTGCACACCTGTAGTCCCAGCTGCTTGGAAGGCTGAGGTGGAAGAATCACCTGAGCCCGGGAGGTCAAGGCTGCAGTGAGTCGTGATCGTGCCACTGCACTCCAGCCTGGGCAACCGGAGTGAGACCCTGTCCCAATAAATAAGTAAATAAATAAATAAATAAATTTTAATAAGGAGACTTCCATAATTATGCATTTTTCAAAAGTTCTACCTTTTAAGAAAGAGTACACATCTGTGCCATCTACTTTACCTGGTAGAGCTAAAAAAACAAGTATCAAATGTATGAATAATATATCTGTTTATATCAATATCACTATTCATGTATTATTTTTGAAAGATCTCTAGCCATACTATAGTTCTCTTACAGATGAGGAAAGAACAGTTCAGAAAGCTTGTAAAACAGTATCAAGGATACGTATATAACAAGACCTAAAGCTATAATTCAAGTCTAGGTCTGTCTGGCCCCAAACCTCGTGCCCTCTCCACTGTGACACAATACTTCTTAGATGTCTCCCATTCTCATGACCACTTATTTAGTTGTGGGGTCTGGGGCTTCTATACCATGCCCTACTATGCCTCTATTTCATATCTATATTTATATCTATATCTGCATATCTTTAACCCTATGACAAATCCTGTGTTAGAAGTGGGCATTCGGGCCAGGCGCGGTAGCTCACGCCTGTAATCCCAGCACTTTGGGAGGCCAAGGTGGGTGGATCACAAGGTCAGGAGATTGAGACCATCCTGGCTAACATGGTGAAACCCCGTCTCTACTAAAAATACAAAAAATTAGCTGGGTGTGATGGCAGACGCCTGTAGTCCCAGCTACTCGGGAGGCTGAGGCAGGAGAATGGCATGAACCCAGGAGGCGGAGCTTGCAGTGAGCTGAGATCATGCCACTGCACTCCAGCTTGGTGACAGAGTGAGACTCTGTCTCCAAAAAAAGAAAGTGGGCATTCAGTAGCAAGGCAAAGCCCCTGACCTCAAGAACCTTATAATCTAGTGAAGGAGATAGAAAAGTAAAAAGGCAATTACAGTAAAACATGGTACGTGCTAAGAAAAAAGTGGTTATGAGATGTTAGAGGAGCAAACAAGAAGAGTCAGGGAAGGCTTTCAGGAGGAAGTAATATTTAAAGAAAGACTAAGAAGTCATCCAGGTGAAGTGTAAGTTGTCTTCGTTCCAACAGAGAAAACAAAGCCCTGGAGGTGAGAGAAAGGATGGCACATTTGGGAACCTACACCTTTTTTAGTATACTAGAATAAAGGCCGGGCACGGTGGCTCATGCCTGTAATCCCACATTTTGGGAAGCTGAGGTGAGTGGATAGCCTAAGTCCAGGAGTTCGAGACCAGCCTGGGCAACGTGGCAAAACCCCATCTCTACTAAAAGTATAAAAAGCAAAAGTATACTAGAATAAAAAATGTGAGGCATGTGGCCAGGTAAGTAGAGAGACCAAATCACAAAGAGCTTTGTTTGCCTGTGAAGGTGTTTTGGAATTATGGAGAGCCACTATAGGGCCATTAGCATGGGAGTGCTATGAAAATATGCTAGATAGAGTCTGCAGATTGAAAGAGTAGGAGGTAAGGACACAAGTGACTGGTCAATAGGCAGTTGCAATAATGTATGGTCTCATTTATACTTGCTAAAGGGTATGATGTGGTCCTGAGGTAGTAGCAGTACACAAAGAGGGAGTGGCTAGATTCAAGAGATAGAAGATTTAGGATACAGAAATAAAACTCGTATTTGATTATATATACAAGGGTGAGAGTGATAACTGAAGTTTCTGACTTGAACCAAGAGATAGAAACAAAAAAACAATGAGAATATTGGGGGAGGGAGATGAGGAGTCCAATTTGGACGTCTTGAGTGTTGGATGTCTGTGGTACATTCAGGGAGAGATGTAATTTGCAAAAGCAGGAGAAACATCTAAACTGAAAGTTTAAATTTGGGAGTTGTCACCTTATGGATGACACTTCAAACCATGGACATAGACGAAATCTAGGAAGATTATGTAGAATGAGAAAAGAAATGAACCTAGTACAGAAAATATTATTATAATAACAATAATACTATTTTGCCTTTCACCTCAGGAGCTATAGAACAAATACTAGTATCCACTACTGCTGAAGTCAAGTCTTGAAGTTTTGACCTTAGTTAATGTTAGTAATAAAAGTCTAAACAAGAGACATAATTCAGCTGTCAAACCCACATTCACTGAACATGAACTTGCTCAGCATTCTTCACTTTCTAGATTCATAGGTATGCACCACTCTGCATATTTATCAGGGCCATTTTCACTAACTTTTCTATCTGAGATCCTATTTAAAATCAGAGAAAAAATGGAGAATCAAAGTAGTTGTACAGACAGGTTAAGCCAACAAATCCTTTCTCCTCTTTTCTCCATAAGGGCACACAGAAAGTGTCAATGACACACAAATAAAGCAAATGCATCATCTTCTACCTGCAGTTGATTCAGGAGTTTTTCTCAATTGATGACTTTACCCTAAGTGATAAAATCTGTATTTTGTTGCTCCACTTGTCTCTCTGCAGTTCCAGCATCTGTCCAAGGAGTAATTGCAGACAATGCATACAGCAGTTATTCCTTAATAGTAAGTTGGCAAAAAGCTGCTGGTGTGGCAGAAAGATATGATATCCTGCTTCTAACTGAAAATGGAATCCTTCTGCGCAACACATCAGAGCCAGCCACCACTAAGCAACACAAATTTGAAGATCTAACACCAGGCAAGAAATACAAGATACAGATCCTAACTGTCAGTGGAGGCCTCTTTAGCAAGGAAGCCCAGACTGAAGGCCGAACAGGTAATTAGCACAGCATAATGTTTTGTAGCACATATTGCCAATGTCTGCTATTGTGTAAGAACCCCAGGGTGAGAGGGATGAAGCAACATTGGGAGATGATATCTATCTCTTGATACGCTGGGAACATTCACCCTGAT
Source organism: Homo sapiens (assembly GCF_000001405.40). Lineage (NCBI taxonomy): Eukaryota > Metazoa > Chordata > Mammalia > Primates > Hominidae > Homo > Homo sapiens. The sequence continues at coordinate 70,566,297 of NC_000012.12, read as the reverse complement.
TTGCCACTTCCATGTCAGTTGCCCTATCCACGCAGGACTCAGCCCACCACACTCTGTTTCTGATTTTTCATTAATATTGGTGCTATTAGCTTCCTATTGCTGCTATAATAAACTATCACAATCTTAGTGGCTTAATACCACCCAAATTTATTATTTTCTAGTCCTGAAGATTAGAATCTGAAAATGGTTTTTTGGGACTGAAATCAAGACAACAGGGCTGTGTTTCTTGTAGACACTTTAGAGGGAGAATCCACTCCTTGCCTTTTTCAGCTTCTGAGGCCGCCCACATTCCTTGGCTCGTGTCCCCCTCCCAACAGTGACATTGCTCCAATCTCTGCATGGGACCTTACATCTCTTTCTCTGCTCTCCTGCCTCCCTCTTCCATCTTTTAAGGACTCTTGTGATTACCTTGGTCACCAACCGGACAATCCAGGATAATTCCTTCGTCTCAAGATCCTTAACTTAATCACATCTACAAAGCCCTTTTTGCCACAGAAGGTAACATATTCACAGGTTCTGGGGGTTAGGACATGGACATCTTTGGGGCCATTATTCAGACAACCACATTGGCCTAATTGATTGATAACTTATTTATTAAGTACATAGGTCTGAAGGCGGGGATGGTTATGTTGACAGGGACATAAAGATGAATCAGGCATGCTTCTCGTCCTTAAAGAGCTGACTGACGAGACAGACACATGGACAAATAATGGCAATGCATTGTGATAAAGAGTACATATAAGAGAGGGATGTCTGGCATTCAGGGAAGCATGGAGGTCAGGTAGAATTGAGACATCTTCATAAAAGTGACATTTCAGTACTGCCTTGAAGGATGAAGAAATTCTCCTTATGGAGAGAAGGTAGAATACTTTGTACAGACAGTCTGTCCTGTGCAAAGGCCAAGAGGTATGAACAGGAGAAAGGAGAAGTTGTGGGTGGCTGAAATGTGTGTTGCATGATGGAAAGGTGAGACTGAAAGCCAGATTGGAGCCAAATTAGAGGGTGCCTGGTAGCCTTCCTCAGGAATTTTATCTTAAAGCAATACAAAACTTTTAGCCAGAGAGTAATTGTTTTGTAATAAAAGATGTATCTTTAAAAAGATAAATCAGATAGCAATGGGGGAATGGATTGAATGGAAATGAACCAGAAGTGAGGAGATCCACCTATCAATTCATTTATTATTGAGTACCTACTATAGGCTAGGCACTGTTCTAACTGCTGGATATACAGAAGTGAATAAAAAAACTCCCATGGTCATTATGTTTATAGTCTAGTGGGGAAGAAAGTCAATAAATAAAATAAATAAGTAAAAGATGTAGGAGGTTGGGTGGTAATAAAGACCAAGAAGGAAATTAAGTTAGGAAGGTGGGATAGCAAGAGTTGGGGCTTACAATTTTATCTATCTATTTATTATTATTATTATTATTATTATTATTATTATTATTATTATTATTTATTATTTTTGGAGACAGAACCTCGCTCTGGCACCCAGGATGGAGTGCAGTGGCACAATCTCAATTCACTGCAACCTCTGCCTCCTGGGCTCAAACAATCCTCCCATCTCAACCTCCCAAGTAGTTGGGACTTCAGGCATGTGCCACCACACCCAGCTAATTTTTGTATTTTCTTGTAGACACAGGGTTTCTCCACATTGCCTAGGCTGGTCTCGCACTCCTGGGCTCAAGAAATCCACCTGCCTCAACCTCCCAAAGTGTTGGGATTACAGGCACGAGCCACCACGCCTGGTCAAGGGGCTTACAATTTTTTTTTTTTTTTTTTGAGATGGAGTCTCCCTCTGTTGCCCAAGCTGGAGTGCAGTGGTGCGATCTTAGCTCACCACAACCTCCACCTCCTGGGTTCAAGCAATTATCCTGCCTCAGCCTCCCGAGTGCATACCGAGTGGGACTACAGGTATGCACCACTACACCCGGCTAATTTTTATATTTTTAGTAGAGACAGGGTTTCACCATGTTGGCCAGGCTGGTCTTGAACTCCTGACCTCAGGTGATCCACCCTCCTCAGCCTCCCAAAGTGCTGGGATTACAGGCATGAGCCACTGCACCTGGTCGGGACTTACAATTTTAGATAGTACAGTCCCCAAAGACTTCATTGAGGCAGTGACATTTGAGTAAAAATCTGAAAGAAATGAGAAAGTCATGCAAATATTTGGGTATTTATAAGCAGAGCCAATGCCAACACAAAGACCTTGAGTGGGTGTGTGTCTGACCTGTTGGAGGAACAGTAAAGAGGCCCATATGGCTGGAACAGAGTGAGCGAGGATGAGTGGTGGGGATGCAGATGGACAGGTAATGGGGGTCATGACATGACTGCAGTCATAGGATGATAAGGACCAATAGCTGAATGAATGCAGGGGCCCTGGTGAAGAATAGTGGGTACAGTCAAGAAATATTTTTGCATTAGCTTAAGTGGCACTTGGGGGCTGAGTGGATTATAGAGGAAGGGACAGAAGATTCCAGAGTTTTCACCTGGGATGTCTGGTAGAAGATGATGCCATTAATTGAGATAGAAGAAGGAGGAGAGAGGGTCAAGCAAAACTCCAGAGTTCAGCTGTGTATTGAGTTTGAGATGCCTGAGTGACTTGCAGAGAGAAGGGACCATAGGTATTTGGAAATATGGATTTGAGCTCAGAAGAGAAGTGAGCTGGACATAAAAAGATCTGGACCAGAATGCTAGTTAAATCCATAAATTGAATGAGACTGATTGCTCAGCTGGGGCTATAGAATATGAAGGAAACAAAGGATGGATCCATGGGAAATAACACCTTGTAAGGGCCTGACAAAAGGAGAGGAGAAAGCAAAGAGAGCCTGAGAAAGAGCATTTGGGGTGGAGGAAAGAGAACTCAGGCGAAATCAAGGCAGATGTCCTGTTCTGTTTCTACTGGCATCTTAAGACTTCTGAGGAATCAGGCAGCATCTGTGCCAGCAGTTTGCAAGGAGGTGGTTGCTAGCAGCACTTGACCTTGCCAAGAGGTAGCACAGAAGTCCAAAAGGGTTTGCAAAATTCTAACATGAAGATTTTTGTAAAGTGCTTTTGGCTTTTCCTATTGTTACTGTTTCCCGTATCACTGAATCCAACTTCCTCTTTCTGTTTGCTTTTCCCTCTTCCCCACCTGCTCCCTTCTCCTCACTGCATTTCCCTCCCTCATTCTCTTGCTCCTCGACTTTTCCAGTCCCAGCAGCTGTCACCGACCTGAGGATCACAGAGAACTCCACCAGGCACCTGTCCTTCCGCTGGACCGCCTCAGAGGGGGAGCTCAGCTGGTACAACATCTTTTTGTACAACCCAGATGGGAATCTCCAGGAGAGAGCTCAAGTTGACCCACTAGTCCAGAGCTTCTCTTTCCAGAACTTGCTACAAGGCAGAATGTACAAGATGGTGATTGTAACTCACAGTGGGGAGCTGTCTAATGAGTCTTTCATATTTGGTAGAACAGGTAAGACCAAGACCCAAGCAGTAATGAATCGTGGGGGAATTGTCCCGGTATTCACTGGCTTTTCCTTGGTTGGTCCTTAGTTTCCTATTCTATTCAGGATGTAGCTTTATATGGCATTTGTGACTTTCAGGCTGTTTGACCCTAAATCGCACCTTTGATTATATATAACTAATTTGTGGCTAGTTTTTGCACTGGCTTCTGCTCTTTTGCCTCCACTTATTTACTTCCTAGGGCTTGGTAAAAAATGAATGCGGTTCCTCCTCTTGCCATCAAACTGTACAAGAGGGCTGTAACCCATCATAGTTTAATTCGAGCTACACCCTTCAGCTTTCTAACAAGAAATAGACGGAGAGGAGAGCAGGAGCAGAGAAGGGCAACCACAAATATAACAAACAGGCAGTGACTGCTGCGAATTAGAAACACAGCGCTAGATGAAGTGAAAACACAGAGTTCCAGGAAAGTGAGAGACATCTCTCTGGGCTGCAAACAAAAAACAGAATCTACCCTTTTCCCATAATTTGAGTCCTTTATCTCCTGTTCAAAAAAAAATGTTTTGGGGGGGGACGAGTTCTCACTCTGTTGCCCAGGCTGGAGTGCAGTGATGCCATCATGGCTCCCTGCAGCCTCGACCACCTGGGCTCAAGTGATCCTCTTGCTTCAGCCTCCCGAGTAGCTGGGACTACAGGCACACGACACCATGCATGGCAAACTTTTAACTTTTTAATTTTTATTTTTTGTAGAGATGGGGGCCTCCCTGTATTGCCCAGGCTGGTCTTGAACTCCTGGGCTAAAGCAATCCTCTTGCCTCGACCTCCCAAAGTGCTGGAATTAGAGGCGTGAGCCACCACGGTCAGCCCACCTATTCAATTCTTTTTTCTCATTTGACAATAGTTTTAGGTGCTCTTCTGTGCCAGGCACATGGCCCACTGCTGTAATGTGACGGTGAACAAGACAGTCAAGGGCCCTGCCCTCAGAGAACTCTGCAATAGCGGGGAGGGAAGAGGACAAGGACAGATCATCAAAGGGAGATGATCTGGGAATGCCTTAAATTCTATGAAAAAAATGATGTGTCATGATAGTGACTTGGCAGGACAAGCAACTGCTTTAGATAGGAGAAGGCATTTCAGCAGAGACCTAAAGGTGAGGGGAGCCACGTGGGAACATATTCCAAGGGCACCCAACAGAAGTTCTGTTTGTCTTTTGAAAGGAGTGAAAAAGAGCAGCGATAAGCTTCAACCACAAATAGAATTGCCTAGATGTCATCATTTCTGAGGCAACCCACCCTTTGCACATCTTTCCTTACCTGCTCATTAATGCTTAAAGGTCTCCCAATGTGGCAACAGTCTTCATTCTCCAAAAAATAGCAAAGCTATTGGGATAGGTGGCAGCATGACTAATCTATACAGTGATAGGAGTGACTGTTAACACTTCTCTCCCTAAATGAAGTTGTACCAATACAGATTTTATAAAAAAGAGCACAAGAGAACTGAGAACCTAAAGGAGGGTACAGAGGATGTAAAGAGACCCAGAGAGGGTTGTTATGGGATGGTGGCTGCAATGAGATAGGCCACACTGGGAGGAGCTGGAACCTCGTATATACATTTTCTGGGCCTTTTTCATAAGCTAAATGACAACGATTTATTCATCATTTATGAAGATTTCATTTTACATGCCTATCAGGGTCCATGTGGCAAGCATCTAGAAGTCACCACCTGGTTTGTTTTGTTTTAATTTATACCATATCTCTAGTCCATATGCCCTTAAAGTTAAATGGCCTGAAATGTAGGCAAGATCTGACTACAATATGTACGACTCACCCACATGCCCAACATAGCATATACTCTCACCTGTGGGCCAAAATGCCTGTGTTTCTGTTTTGTTCTCAGTAACAATTTTTCTTCTGTTTAAGTCCCAGCCTCTGTGAGTCATCTCAGGGGGTCCAATCGGAACACGACAGACAGCCTTTGGTTCAACTGGAGTCCAGCCTCTGGGGACTTTGACTTTTATGAGCTGATTCTCTATAATCCCAATGGCACAAAGAAGGAAAACTGGAAAGACAAGGACCTGACGGAGTGGCGGTTTCAAGGCCTTGTTCCTGGAAGGAAGTACGTGCTGTGGGTGGTAACTCACAGTGGAGATCTCAGCAATAAAGTCACAGCGGAGAGCAGAACAGGTGAGAAGCCCAGGTGCCAATGGCCAAGGGATGGTGGGAAGTAGCTTCCAGAGACACATTTTGATTCTGATTTTAATGACAAGAGATAAAGCCAATAATGATATACCCTGAGCTAGCCCCTGAATTTGGGAAGGGACTGTGGGACAACAGATAAAGGACAAGGCTTTGGTCCAAAAGAAATATGTCCTTAGCTTAGCTCTATGAATCTGGGCAAGTCATTGAGCATCTCTAGGCCTCAGTTTTCTTATCTGCAAAGTGGGAATAATCATATACATCATCACTGTGTGGCTATCACCAGTGCTTCCTAACTGTTTTTATGTCATGGGCACACACAGAGGTCTGTGTGCCACCCTGGAGTTAATCAACAAGGCTATCTGCAACTGAACATAATTGTCTGTGGACGTCAGCCCTGTACCCCAAAATCTGATGGAATTAATATCTTCACACACTTGTAACCCATTCAGGGCACACTCATGCTCCACAGCACCATGGTAAGGAAGATCTGGCTATGAATATTTAAGAAAAGGTATATGAGGCTGGGCACCGTGGCTCATGCCTATAATCCCAGTACTTTGGGAGGCCGAGGTGGGTGGATCACTTGAGGTCTGGAGTTCGAGACCAGCCTGGTCAACGAGAGGAAACCCTGTCTCTACTAAAAATACAACAATTAGCCAGGTGTAGTGGTGGGCACCTGTAATCCCAGCTACTTGGGAGGCTGAGGTGCCTGTAATCCCAGCTACCTGGGAAGCGGAGGTTGCAGTGAGCCAAGATCACTCCACTGCACTTCAGCCTGGGCAGCAAGAGCAAAACTCTGTCTCAAAAAAAAAAAAGTGAAAAAAAAAAAAAAAAAGTACATAAAATGCTCGAAGACAGTGCCTTACACATAATAAACACTATTAATGAAAGCTCCTGCTACTATATTATTATCATATTATCTCTTCCTACAAAGTACATTAAAAGTGTGTCTGATGTTGCTCAGCTATCTTATTTGTATATGTTATGGCATAGCTGTGATTATGTGATTTTTCACTTTCTCCTACATTCAGCTCCAAGTCCTCCCAGTCTTATGTCATTTGCTGACATTGCAAACACATCCTTGGCCATCACGTGGAAAGGGCCCCCAGACTGGACAGACTACAACGACTTTGAGCTGCAGTGGTTGCCCAGAGATGCACTTACTGTCTTCAACCCCTACAACAACAGAAAATCAGAAGGACGCATTGTGTATGGTCTTCGTCCAGGGAGATCCTATCAATTCAACGTCAAGACTGTCAGTGGTGATTCCTGGAAAACTTACAGCAAACCAATTTTTGGATCTGTGAGGACAAGTATGACATGTTTTGCTACTCTTATTTCTCAAATGGAGTAGAGGAAGTATATGTTCAACATCTTACTCAAATAGGGCTTGGATTAAATCCATATTTTTACATGGGATTGGTCTGGATTTGAATTCAGGCAGAAGTCTCTGTAGATTTGTTCGTTCATTCAACATTAACAACAAGGGACAATAAATCTCTCTCTGCCCTCATGGGGCTTACAATTAGGTAGGACGTACTATTTGTAAATAGACATTATATTTTGGGTGTGATGAGGGAAGTAAATGGTACTATGGAGACACTTGTTAGGTAATCTGACCCAATACAAGAGAACTTCTTGGAAAAGGAAACATCCAAATAGAAACCTAAAGCAAGAGATTTACCAGGTAGAGGTAGGGGAAGAAGTGGAGAATATTCCAGGTAGAGAGAATAAAATATTCCAAGATGAGAGAGGAGGGAGAGTACAAGATCTACCAATAGGGGAACAGAAAGAAGTTTATTTGGCCATAGCATAAAAGGTGAGGATTAAGGGAATCAGATAATAAAATATTTTGTATTCCATGGTAACTACTTTGAACTTTATTTTGAACCAACTGGAGCCACTCAATTTCAGCAGAGATATCATAATCATTATTTACACTTTAGAAAGTTACTCTGGGTACAGTGTAGAGAATAGATTGAAAGAGGCAAAACTAGAAGCAGAGGGATCATAGTTAGCATATACTGCTGTATGTCCCTGAGATAAAAATACTTCGACGACGAAGCATATACCAGTTTCTTCCCAAAGGCATTTTGGGATAGATACTATCACCCTCAAAGAAAGACAGGTATTCAGTGTAGGGACTTTAATCCAAATATTTGTGTTTCAATAATACCCAGTATAAGTAGCTTCTGGGATCAGATCAGATAGTTATTGGTTGTTGATAAAATACATAGTTGAAAGTTAGAAATTTAAGCAAGTAGTTGTTTTATTTTTTTAATAAGCATTAATACTATAACAAGTATAACTTTTATGCCACATTGTATCCAAAGAGCAGTTATTTGTGTGTCAAGAGAAATATGTGAAAAAGAACTAAGAGTTTTAGTTTATGGCGAGCTCAGGATGAGTTTTCCGTGGCTGACTGTGGGCTGTGTTCATGAAATCTGCTAAGCAGAACACCCTGCACTGGTTACCAAACCCAGGGCAGAACTCTAAACACTTCTGACCATTGCATCTGGTATTAGAGTAGCCAGGGAAACACAATGCAAACACTGGATGGAACAAAGCTTTACTTACATAGAGAGGAGACAGAGTAAGATCAGCCTCAACAGTATGCATCAGTCCCCCACAGCCAGCTGCAGTAGTTGCCCAGAGATGCACTTGCTATCTTCAACCCTGACAACAGAAAACAGAAGGGCGCATTGTCTGTGGTCTCTTCCAGCAGCCAATGGAGGGCAGTTGGCTAAGTGCACCCCTCTCGGGCCACAGTAGAAGGACCCTGTCCTGTCTCCTCAGAGGACAACTATAGCATTGGTGTTCGCCATCTACCATGTGACACACATGCTTAAGCAGAACAAAAGAGCATACATTGAGCTTGCAACAGGGAATGATACTCCCACACAAGGCAATGAGCCCAGCACAGGGTGTGTAGGCTCTCCATCTCTTGGTAAGAAAGTATCTTAAGCTCAAGGGCCATTTCTTACACAGCCAAATGGGGGTTGATAGACTATGCACATGAGACTGCCTTTCCCAACAGCCTCGCAGGTGCTCAGTTTAAGAGCTCATACAACTCTGTTAGAGGCTAGGCTTATAAGTCACAACTGGACTGTTGTATTCAGTCCCGGGTGCTAGAATTTAAGGGAGGCATTTACCAAAAGGGGGAGTGCCCAAGAGGACAAAAACTGCCATGAAAGAGAGACTCAGTGCTGTTTCATGAGGAATGATTATGGTGGAACTTGTTTTTGTTTTGTTATGTTTTGTTTTGTTTTCTTCGAGGCTTGTATTTATTAGGATCGGGTGAGGCTATGGGTAACAGAAAATCCAAAATAGCAGAAGTTTAAATAGAATAGAAGTTTATAATTTTCATGTAAAATCATTCCAGTACTCAATTTCTCACAAATATGCTTCAACCATAATGAATGATTTGCAGTTCTCAATTTTCTACCATCCCACTCCGGCACCTCCTCCTTTGGTACCTGGGTTTCTGGTTTTTCTCTACGTAGAATGCCTCTTTCGTGATACCTTGGCAGAGTGTCACCTCTGCCTTACAGCTTTTACTAACTCCTGCTGATCACTAATAGCCAGCAGCTAAAAGTTGTGTGTCACACCACATAGCACCTTCTCTCACCATTTCTTCTGGTATGTTTTCCTTTCTACCTTGTGTTATGGCTATTTTGGACTCATTTCCATTTGTAGAGGTTAGAGCTAACGTCTTATTTACCTCTGTACTGTTCATAATCCCCAGAAGAGCACCTGGCACATAGTAGGTACTTGTTTCTCTCAACACGTGAAAGAAGTGTTCACTCCACTCTCTTTTTGTTTGCATGGCTTCAGAGGAGGACATAATTCTTAACTTTGCTTCTCTATATGTAAGTTGTTTTTCCCCCTCTGGCTTCTTTCAGGAATTTTTCTTTATCTTTGATTTTCTGTAGTGTGAAAACGATATGCCTAGCCATAGTTTTTTTGGCATATATCCTCCTTGGTGTTTTCTGAGCTTCCTGGATCTGTGGTTGGTGTCTAACATTTATTTGTGGGAAATTCTTAGTCATTCTTGTTTCAGATATTTCTTCTGTTCCTTTCTTTCTTCTTCTGGTATTCCCATTTTGTGTAGGATACACCTTTTGTGGTTGTTCCATGGTCCTTCGATCTTCTGTTCTGCTTTTCAGTCTTTGTTTTCTTTGCTTTTTCCATTTGGAAGGTCTCTATTGATATATCCTCAGGCTCAGAGACTGTCCTCAGCCACGTCTAACTATTAATAAGCCCATCAAGGCATTCTTTAACTGTTACTCAGACTTGTCCACACCTGTCCTCCAGCTTTTCCTACCCCAACCTTGGTTCCCTGGGAGATTTATGCTCATGTGTCTCTGCTAGGGTGAGCCACGACACTCTGTATTTGCCTGTCTGTCCCTCCTATACCTAGATCTCAGAGCTAGTTGGACCCAAAGGAGCTGAAAAAAAAAAATTCTCCCTGAGTTCTGAAAAGTGTTGCCTCCTCTGTTTCCTTTAGAGCCTGACAAGATACAAAACCTGCATTGCCGGCCTCAGAACTCCACGGCCATTGCCTGTTCTTGGATCCCTCCTGATTCTGACTTTGATGGTTATAGTATTGAATGCCGGAAAATGGACACCCAAGAAGTTGAGTTTTCCAGAAAGCTGGAGAAAGAAAAATCTCTGCTCAACATCATGATGCTAGTGCCCCATAAGAGGTACCTGGTGTCCATCAAAGTGCAGTCGGCCGGCATGACCAGCGAGGTGGTTGAAGACAGCACTATCACAATGATAGACCGTAAGTGTCCCTGGAGGTGCGCACAGAGCCTCCTGTCACTGGAGTGAAGGGGCTGTGCACCTTTCTCTATCATATCCATCACTGCTATTCACTTGCATACACTTCACTTTTGCATAAGCCTGTCTGATTGCCACCTGGAGAGGAGGACCTAAAAGTCTCCAGAAATGGAAACATTTCTCTGGGTAAAGTACCCTGACAGCAAACAAGTTAGATGGTCTTAAAGTACCTGAATGAGTTAGTATTTAAATATATCACTTTGCCTCATATAGTTAGAGCTATAATGGAGCTCTTAAGCAATTTGAAGCTACAACTTCAGGAAATTCTGCTGAAGAGCTACCTCTTTCATTATGTTTAATGTGCCACTGGCAAATCACTTCCTCTGCCTGTTTTCCTTCAGGAGAAGGGGAGAGTTTCTTGATTACAGCATTAAACACAGGCACACGCTCACACACACACAGTCTGATGCAGGAGAGCAGAATCCTTCATTTCACTAACTGTTGTTTATGCTGTGAAAGCAGAGTTGTGACCCCTCTTGGTTCCTTCCCCACCTCTTTTTCCAGGCCCCCCTCCTCCACCCCCACACATTCGTGTGAATGAAAAGGATGTGCTAATTAGCAAGTCTTCCATCAACTTTACTGTCAACTGCAGCTGGTTCAGCGACACCAATGGAGCTGTGAAATACTTCACAGTGGTGGTGAGAGAGGCTGATGGTAAGTTATCATGAGTTAACTCCACTCTGAGACACAGAATTGCTTCCTCAGAGGTCATGTGGGAGATCTTTCTGTGACAAAGTTTAAGAAACTTAAGTAGAAAATGTAATTTTTGTATCATTCACCCCTCTCTCTGCTGGATACAGGGAGATGTAAGAAAAAGCTGCTCAAAGGCTCTTTGGGCAATAAAGCCTGTTATCCTCTGGGTTTAATTATTAAATAGAAGAGTAATGATAATAGCAACCACAACGATAATAACAATAACCATCATTTATTGAGCCCTTACTACGTGCTGTGCACTATTGGAAGTGCATTGCATGTAATGCCTTATTCAGTCCTCTTCATTATTGGGTCAGTCTTGTTCACTACTCTTTTGTTCTACCATTAAACATTAATATGCCTCAACTGTCTTCACCCCTCCCTGTCTCAAATGCCTCAACTGATCATGCTTGCAAACCACCCACCAAGTCACAAAAATAACCAAAAGCTTAAAAGAAGGAAAAGATGTTCATGAAAAACATTCTTCCCTTCTCCACTGAATTTTGAATAGTTTTATTCTCTAGTTTCCTAAATTATTCAATATCTACCTAATTCCTACAGATAAGAACAAAGTCTAGGGAATAGTTATCACAACATCACATACAACCACTCAGTATGAGCTTTCAAGCTTATTATATCAGCATTTGTCAAACCACCTGTAAGAGTGTTGTATTTGGGGCACACCTGTCCATATATGTATTCGCCATTGAGGTCTTGTGTGTTATTTCTCCAAAAGAGATGCTTGTGCCTGGAATGACATTAATATAGTTTACCTTTCTTATATATTTTTATACTGTTTAAGGTGCTGCATGAGTTTCTTAAGCATCCCTAATAATTTTGACCCATTTGTGGGTAAGGGGGAAACTTGAAACCTGACAAACTGTGAGGAGTTTCTAGGCCAATGGGTATTTTAGGCTCACAGTATCTAACAGTCTATGTGCTTTCACAGTTTATTTAATTGTACTAAATCTGGTTATGCACAATTAATTAAATAATTTCAAGGGTCAGTGGTGTGTCCCAGATTTCCTCACACCACATAATTGAAGATAAATTAGTGAACTGTGGAAAGACTTTAGACTTAATTAGACTGCAATGAAGACAGTGTTTTGCTACATGAATATGAGACAGTAACCAAAAAAGTCACACCCCAGAAAGTAGCCTTGTGTTCCCCAGCCAGACAGCCTTCCCATTATTGATGTCCATGGAGATGAGCTGTGATTTCCAGGTTAGCTAAGATAACAATCCATCTCATATAAACGCCATTTATAGTGTACACACTCATGCTAAAGACAACATTTCTTTTTAACTACTGCCAACAAAATATTTCTAAGACTCACTTATGAGCAAATTTTATTAAACAACAATCCAGGATGCTATGATAAACCCTCACTGCACCACTTCTTGAAGCTCATTGTAAATAGTATCTGATCTCTATAGTATTTATCTTTCTACTTACGCTTTTCTCCAGCCAACATCAAAACTGGTTTGCAGTGCCAAAACACACAGCAGGCTGGGTGGACAGGGGAAGAGTTCTGGGAAGTGCTCTGAGTAAGGGGCCAAATTTGGATGGGGATTAAACTGTACTCAAGATAACAGATCCACATGCAGAGCAATAATCAAACTGGGCATGACATGTGGAGCACGCCTTGTGGGATGACTGCTCTGGCCTAGGACATGATTTCTCTTATCTTTTTCCTATTTCCCAGGTCATAGGGGTTTCCTTATTAGCTCAACTACAATGGTTATTGGCAAGATAGTTTATCAAGTGGGTTCACTCACAATGGGAGTTGTCCAACACTCTGGAGTTGTGAGACATGCTCTCATTTAATGCAATGAGCTACCCTTATTTTATTTCCTAGGAAAATGATGCTGTGTGTGTGTGTATTTTATATACACACTATTTATGTATTTTGGAAAAAGTGAATTAAAATTAACTTTATTAGGAGAATTTCACATCGTTCTTTGAGATTGCAGAATCTGTACTTTGGAAATGGCCAGAGATAGTGGATGTGGAGGCAGCCTTAGAAACCTAATTTAAAATCACTGAAATCACCTAAGTCACAAGAAAGGCAGTCCTTAACTGTGGGTTTTCTCCTCCAGGCAGTGATGAGCTGAAGCCAGAACAGCAGCACCCTCTCCCTTCCTACCTGGAGTACAGGCACAATGCCTCCATTCGGGTGTATCAGACTAATTATTTTGCCAGCAAATGTGCCGAAAATCCTAACAGCAACTCCAAGAGTTTTAACATTAAGCTTGGAGCAGAGATGGAGAGCCTAGGTGGAAAATGCGATCCCACTCAGCAAAAATTCTGTGATGGACCACTGAAGCCACACACTGCCTACAGGTTAGATATATTACCACTGTTTTGCTAGAAGGGACATGCTACATTACTAAGCACTCAGCTGTCTGAGCAACTGATGCATGCGAGCTTCCATAGATTAATAACCTACGTTACAAGAGTACTGTGCATTTTACTGGGTAATTTATAAACGTTGGATTCCTGCCTCCACTTGCAGGTAATGTGTCAAAAGGGACTTCAGCACTATGCAAAAGCTCCAGTTCATTAAGGGAAGAACTGAAGGTTCTTAATAGATTGTTCTTTCTTCTACAACTTTCATTATTTTTTTTTTTTTTTTTGAGACAGAGTCTTACTCTGTTGCCCAGACTGGAGTGCAGTGGTGCCATCTCGGCTCACTGCAACCTCTGCCTCCCTGGTTCAAGCAATTCTCTTGCCTCAGCCTCCCAAGTAGCTGGGATTACAAGTGCACGCCACCACACCCGGCTAAGTTTTGTATTTTTAGTAGAGATGGGGTTTCACCATGTTGGCCAGGCTGGTCTCCAACTCCTGGCCTCAAGTGATCTGCCTGCCTTGGCCTCCCAAAGTGCTGGGATTACAGGTGTGAGCCACCATGCCTGGCCCTTCTACAACTTTCTAAATATGAGTCCAATACTTTACTTTGCTCATTATTGTAAAAATTTCCAAATAAAATGACTGAGTTTAGGGAGATCCAAAAACAATATGAAGTTATATCTTCTACTTATAATGTGAACTGAAATTATACTCACTTATTTACCTTCTAAGGCATCTAAAGATGGAAGCGCTCTTTGCTCCAGACAGAACTCTGGAAGGCAAAGACCCCTGAATGAATGGGAACACCCTTTTTTCCCCATGGAGATGACTAATGAAAAGGAGCAGCTGTCTGGCTTTGGCTCCAGGAAACATCACTGCAGTCACTAGGCCCTTCGGCCCTAGGAATTGGCAGTGCTCTTGTTCTGCACTGTGTTTTCAGAAAGCAGGTACAAGCAGAAGTATATAGCATCCCAATCAGCATCCTCAAGAGAAAGGGAACCTAGGCTACCATCTTGGATATAGAGCTACTGACATCCAACATTATTACTTCTGCAGAGGATGTACCTTCTCTGTTGGGTGTTGGAAGAGCTGATACCTAACCAATATGGCAGTAAATTAGGTTTTCCATGGGCCAGTGTTCGTTCTGCTTTGTTGATGCTGAGGTCTTATTGGTTCTCACATATTTGAAGTATCACTCCTAGGTCTCAGTAGAAAAAAAAACTCTCCTGCCACTTCCAAAAGGAGACTATGACGTACTGTTACACCCAAGAGAGTTCTTAGCCCCTCCCTCACATCAAAAAAGTCAGACAGATGTTTTTCCTAAAACAAAGCACTCATTTTTGGCAGGAACTCTGTAAAGCTACCTTTACCCAGGACTCACCAGACAGTTACTGTTACCTCCCAGGCAAGGTCAGCACCTCCAGATTAAACAAACACAAACTTTTTAGTCATACTTACTTCAAAAAGAGACCATACAAGCCTACCTAAAGGAAACAAGATTTCAGAAGAACAAGGGAGAAACATGAAAGATCAGAAAACCAGGATTTATCAGTTCCTGTAAGAATCAAGAGATGCGGCTGGGCGTGGAGGCTCACGCCTGTAATCCCAGCACTTTGGGAGGCCGAGGTGGGCGAATCACTTGAGGTCAGGAGTTCAAGACTAGCCTGGCCAACATGGTAAAACTCCGTCTCTACTAAAAACACAAAAGTTGGCCAGGCACGGTGGTGCACGCCTGTAATCCCAGCTACTTGGGAAGCTGAGGCAGGAGAATTGCTTGAACCCTAGAGGTGGAGGTTGCAGTAAGCTGAGATCATGCCACTGTACTCCAGCCTGGGCGACAGAGCAAGACTCCATCTAAAAAATAAAAAAGAAAAAAAAAAAGATTCAAGAGATTCCTCAGCTCCTTGGTTACCTGGGCTCAAGGAAACTCAAGCAAAAGTCACCTAAGGGCTATTTTCTTTTTGAGTTGGAAAACTGAAGCTGATTTAGTTTGTTTACTTATGGAAAGGGGAGGGGTGAAGATAACTCATTACTAAATTTCAAAGAGAGTAAGAAGCTATAAAAAATTTGTGTCTGGACCAGAGCCCACCAATCTCCCAGCACCCATAGTAACTGCGGAGGTCTTTGGAAGAGCCCCTGCATTTGAGTTCCAGCTCTGCCACTTTTTAACTGTGTAAGCAGCATTTCAATTCTCTAATCCTCATCTTCCTCACCTGCAAAGCTCCATAAGGTTGTCCTAAGTAGTAGTCCTGAGTATGTGACAGATCAAACCTAGTCATGTCCCTTCTAAATTAAGGTTTCCCCATAGTTCCCATTCACTTACCAGAGCAAGAGCAGATTCCAGTACAGGGCACACTGAGCCCTGCTTTCTCCCGCCTGCCTCACCAGCCTTGTCTCCAATCGTATTTGCTCCAAGTACCCACTGCTCTCTTGCTACTCCTCACTCCTCAGAGTTCCTGAATGTGACATGGTTCTTTTATACGCCTGAGCCTTTGCATAATCTTTTCACTCTCAGATGCGTTCCGCTCTTATCTGGCTGGCGAATTCTCTGTACACTTCAAAAGCCAGCTCAACCCTCAACCACCCACACTATCCTGTCAGCCCACAGCTGGGCAGTTGGGTGCTCCATCAGCCCCATGTCCACGTCCCCATCACCGTCTGCCTACATTCCTCTAATCCTACATTTACAGTGGCTTTTAACCCTTTATCGAATTACCTGCCCTCTTTACTAGACTGCAAGAACTCACAGTCCAACAGGGGAGACAGATGTGTCATTGGTTACAAAACAATATGGCAAGTTCCTGGCACAAAGGATGTGCTTGTGAAATGTTTATGAACAAATACGGGAATGAGCCAAGATGCTCTAAGGATGTAACACATTCGTGTTATGGCTTCATCATCTCTGTGTACATATTTGTTTTTCAGAACACACCTTTCCTATATTTCTCCAATATATATGTTTACTTCAGTCCTGTTAAAAGCATGCCAGACAGATAATGCTTGATGAGAGGAGGTGTCGTCTCCCAAAGCACATCAGAGAACCACATGCAAATCAGCCTCTTGCGTGGTGGCTGCTGAACTCAGTCCAGTCAGAATTCTGCCTGTCTCAAGACAGTCATTACCACAGTGACCCTCCTTGTTGTTAGGCATCCTTTTTTCCAAAGCGAATAGGTGGACAGGAAATAGCACGGTAAAAGAATAATTAGGATTGAGAAATGGGAAATGCTAGGTTTAGCTGATACGCAAGTTTATTATGTCAACAGATATAATGTGTTTCATTCATTGTTGGGTTCCTATGATTCATATGTTTTATTCCATTGTTCCATATGGAAAGAGAAAGGGCAGATCATTATGGTGAGAGAGAGTTGGAAGGTTAGGAAAGTGCTGGTCTGGTTTTGTTTTTATTCTAAATAGAAGAGCAGTGTGACCATAGTAAGGTGGTCAGCTTCTCCTGACCTCGTTTTCTTCAAAGGAAGGAAATTGAACCACATGATCTCTAACTTTCTGCTATAGAATTCTGATTCTGGACACATTTAAAGTGGAAAAAAATCTATCAGATATTTGTTCATTAAAAATAGTGTCTTGTTATTGTGTCATATTCATAATTATCTTTCTATAATATATTCAGCACATTTTATTGCCTTATCTGGCAATACGTGTTGTTGGGTGATAGATAAATAAGGTGGAGCCACTGCCTTCAAGAAGCTTACAATGTGGAGACAGAAAGAAGCCACATCTGCAAAATAGAGGCAGAAATGTTGAAGGACATAAGGAATAAAGGAAAATAAATTCTGTGAAGGTTCAGAAGGCTTCTCAAAGGATGTATTAAAACACAGGAATTAAAACATAGGAAAGGATTTAGAAATACCCAGATAGGGACAGAAGGAGATTCAATGTGGAATGAATAGTGGGAGTCAAAGCGTGGAGGTTTAAATACACAAATTGTTTAGAGAAGAACAAACAGTCCAGTTTCAAACAGAGGGTGAATAAAAAGGAGTAGACTGGGATGATAGGACGAGAGAGGACTGTGGGTGGGTGCTAAGTGCTGGGCTGGGGAAAGTAGTTGTGATATTCATTTTTGGAAAAGTTTTAAGGGAAGAGTGCCTGATAACCCATTAATTTTAAGCTGAACCTATACTAGGTAATTATCTCCTTCCTAAAGGTCCTTTTTATCTGCATTCATTCAGTACTTTGTGTTTACACTTGTGGTTTCAGAGCAGACCATGTCAAGGTTGTTATAGCCAATGCTTTTATTTTACAGATGAGTCATAAAGAACTTTAGGGACCATTCAAGTAGCCAGCAATGGAGTAAGAGTGAGAACTAGACTTCAGATCCTCTTGTTCCTAGCCCAGGCTTTTTTCATCCTTCCTACAAAAGTCATGGCGTGTGTGTGTGTGTGTGTGTGTGTGTGTGTGTGTGTGTGAGAGAGAGAGAGAGAGAGAGAGAGAGAGTCTTGCTGTGTTGCCCAGGCTGGAGTGCAGTGGTGTGATCTCAGCTCACTGCAACCTCCACTTTTTAGATTCAAGCAATTCTCATGCCTCAGCCTCCCAAGTAGCTGGGACTACAGGCACGCATCACACGGGCCTGGCTAATTTTTGTATTTTTAATAGAGATGGGGTTTCACCGTGTTGGCCAGGCTGGCCTCAAATTCTTGGCCTCATGTGATCTGCCTGCCTTGGCCTCCCAAATTGCTGGAATTACAGGCATGAGCCACTGTGCCCAGCCAGAAGTCATTGCTTTTAACCAAAAATTAAGCCATGAGGAAATAAGAAAAGAGATCTGCACTAGGAGCCAGAAATATGAAGTTCAGTTTTCGTTCATATCTTTCTGTGTGATCTTCGAGAAGACATGGACTCTCTCCTAGCTTCAGGTTCCAAACCTCTGAAGTAATATAATAAACTTCTTTATTATATTGGAGAGGTTGAACATGATCAAACAGAAACATGTTTGAAAAAGTCCTTATGGCTGGGCGCGATGGCTCACACTTGTAATCCGAGCACTTTGGGAGGCCAAGACAGGCAGATAGCTTGAGCCCAGGAGTTCAAGACTAGCCTGGGCAACATGGCAAAACCCCATCTGTAATAAAAATACAAAAATTAGCTGGCCATGGTAGTGTGCACTTGTAATCCCAGCTACTCAGGAGGCTGGGGTTGGAGGATCACTTGAGCTTGGGAGGTGGAGGTTGCAGTGTGCATTCCAACCTGGTGACAGAGCAAGACCCTGTCTCAAAAAAAAAAAAAAAAAAAAGGAAGGAAAGAAAAGAAAGAAAAAGAAAAAAAGTATTTCCACACTTATAAATAAGAAACTCTTATCAGAGAGACACTGAATTTCCAAATGTATAATAAATTAGCAACATATTTGCCAAGGCATTGGTGTTATGGTGGTTAGCATAGCTGCCTTCCAAAATTAGCAAAACACACCAACTCCTCACCTTCCCCTTTAATGTGTGGTGACTACTTGTTTCCCTTTGTGGACCTTTCTCAATATACTTCCATTAACAGGCTGTTATTCCTGGAAGAACACCTTTTGACTTGGAATGGATCTTTTGGAGATGGAAGTTATAGATGTGATTTATCAATATCATCTTGATGTTCATTTTACAGGATTACACTCGGATCTGGGCATAAGTCAGAAGAAGCGGGAGCAGGGTCAGAACAATTTGCCCTGGCCTAGTACCGCTTCAGCATTATCACAGGACATGCCCAGATACCTTTGGGTTCAAGAAATATAGATTTTAAAAAAACAAAAACAAAAAAAAAAAGGAGTACTTCTCGTCACTTTCATAGAATTGAAATTAACACTAGCAAAAGTTTTCCCACATAAACCAAGCCTAATACTCCATCAGTTCAATTAGAGAATCTTCACAGTAGGAGGGACTTAAGAAGTCACCCAAGCCAATCTTTAACTTAGAGCAGCGATGCCCTCCTCCAGCTTCCCTGGGACTGCTTCTCCTCCAGCCTCCCTGGGACTGCTTCTCCTCCAGCCTCTACTAGAATCCCACTCCCATCTTCCAACCCCCAGTGACTGGGAGCTCTCAACCTAGGAGGCAGCTCATATTCTAATGTTAGAAAACAGCTTAATGTTCCTAAACTCCTCCTTCCTTATAAATTCAGCCTACAGAGCCTAATTCTTCCTTCAAGAAGAAAAATAATCATGTTGTTTTCCTCTTCTACATGGCAGTCTTCCTTAAATCTGAAGCTAACTATATTATGTCCCTTGAAGTCTTCTCTATCATTGTTCAGGTCAGTCACTCAAATGATCTCTAATTCATCCTAAAATATGCCCCCAGAAATTGAGTGCAGCTCTCCAGACTGGGCTGACTTATGCAGAGAGCATGAAACTTAGGTCCTATGATAGGGATCACAGGCTTCTCATTCAAGCAGAGGTTACAAATCTGTGTGTTTGTAGCTGCATCTTGCTTGTTTATTGAATTTAGGACCAGCTGATTTTCAGGCACTATCCCACATGGACATGTGGACAGCCACCTCAGCAACTCTCCTGCTCAGGTGACTGGAATAATGCCAGTGTCAGCTGGATAGTTGTAAATCAATGCCTCACTGTCCCTCTAAATCGAGTATATCCCAAGCAAAGCATATCCTCCTTCACCAGTCTGTCATTTTTTTTTTTTTTTTTGAGGTGGAGTCCTGCTTTGTCACCCAGGCTGGAGTGCAGTGGCATGATCTTGGCTCACTGCAGCCTCCACCTCCCATGTTCAAGTGATTCTCCTGCCTCAGCCTCCCAAGTAGCCAGGATTACAGGTGCCCGCCACCATGCCTGGCTAATTTTTGTATTTTTAGTAGAGACGGGGTTTTGCCACGTTGGCCAGGCTGATCTCGAACTCCTGACCTCAGGTGATCTGCCTGCCTTGGCCTCCCAAAGTGCTGGGATTACAGGCGTGAGCCACCGCTCCCAGCCTGTCTCCTTATTTCTATCAATGATCCCACTGTTCTCTTGAGTGACATGAGCTCAAGTCTTAGGCCATCCTTGATTCTCCCCTGCTTCTCTTCAGTCTGGGCCCCATCTAGTTCCTCCTCTCAGTGCCTTTCACAGTCTTCTTTCCATTCTCATTGCCAGGGCTCCTGGCCAGGGCCCTGTGTCCTTGGCCTGACTATCCCAGCAGTCTCTTCATTGAGCTCTCTGCTCCAGCCACCTCACCTCCTATGCCCACACACACTGTTTCCTCCATATTCTACCATTCCTCATTTGCCATTGTATATATGCTTTCTTATTTTGCTATTTGCCTGATTCCTTTGTATTTTGTCTTTCAAGTTTCCAAGACTAGTGACCATACATCTCTTTTTAACTTCAGCAATTTATAAAGCAGTGCTTTAACAAATATTTCCTGTTGACAATAAATATGATATTAGAATATTTTTAGATAAAATGATCTTTAGAAAATAGTGCCAAAAGATATGTAAGTTAAAATAACAACAACAATAATATTGATATTTGGGCCACTTGACTTCTCTAATGGGCATCTCGGAATTACTTCCTCCACAACTGATCTGTCTGGATCTTCCCAAACCCCCCAGTCTACTTCTCAATAGTTTTCCCTCATGTTAGTAGGTGACACCTCCATTCTTCCAGTTGTTCCCCATCCAGAACATGTGGAATCATCCATACTCTATATTCATCAGCAAATCTTTTAGTTCTTCCTTTGATATATCCAACACTTCTCACTCACTGCCTTCATCACTACCATTCTGAATGAAGCAGTCCCACATGCTTTATTCCCATTGCTTTCCATCTTCCTTACCCTGCTCTTTTCTTTTTCATAGCACACATCTCATCTGATTTATTATATTTGTGTGTTTATTGTCTGACTTCCTCCATGAGAATGTAACCTCTGGAATGGCAGGGACTTTGTTTTGTTCCTTGCAAAGTCCCAGCTACTAGAACAGTGATTGGCGTGTGGCAGGGGCTCAATAAATATTTATGAATAAATTGATGAATGAATGCATGAACCCAGGTCTATCCGATTCCATAACTCATATTCTACCCTGCTACCCACTGACCAGGAACCCGCCCTATTTCTCCTTGAACACATTTTTCAGCTACTGTGTTCAACAACTAATTTATATTTAAATAAATCGGTTTTCTTTTCAGAATCAGCATTCGAGCTTTTACACAGCTCTTTGATGAGGACCTGAAGGAATTCACAAAGCCACTCTATTCAGACACATTTTTTTCTTTACCCATCACTACTGAATCAGGTAAGGCTAACCTTTACATCATGTTCTACCAACTGCCATGTCACCTACAAGAGCCTCTAATGGGGAGATATTGGCTGATGGTGGGGGGAACATTTATTTTCATTTGGAACTTAATCTTTATGTGACCAAAAATTGATGTGGATCAAAGGGATTGTACAACCTCTCTAGAAGAATGGATTGAAAGGGGGTTAATCTAAAAAGAAGGTGGAAGTACAGTATTTTTTTCTATTAAAAATGAATTATTTTCTAAATAGTGAGTGAAAACCATTAAAATCAAGAGTTTTCACAGGCCAAAATATAAGTTACTACAAAACACTTTCAGTTAAAAGTGAGAATGTATATATGCATATACACAGAAATGCTCAGGAAAAAAAGACTAAAAGAAAAAAACACCAAAGTATTAATGATGTGTATCTCAAAGTAATGGAAATACAGGTGATTTTTCTTCCTTTTGCTTATTATGTGTTGACTTTGTAGTACTAAAAACCATTAATATAAAAGACTGTGCATAACAATTTCTGAAAGAGACTTCTCTAGTGTGTTAGAGGGAAAGCCTGAGTAATAATAGTGGCTAGTATTTACTGTTCACCTTCTCTATGGAGACATAGTTTTAAGCATTTTACATGGGATAACTTGTCCAATTCTCATGACAGTCTTTTGAGCTAGATGCTATTATCATCCCCATCTTAAAGATGAGGACATGAGGCACCAAGAGATTAAGTAATTTGCCCAAGATGGTGCAGCTGAAATTCTGGCACTTTCTGCCCAAGCGTACAACCTCTGCACTGCCCTGTCTCTGAATACTTCCACCAGGCTGAGAATAGCATCATTTCATCACCTTCCCTCCCAACACCATCGTCTGCGTAGCCTTTTCCTGTAATCCGTGTTCTGCAATGCTTGATCTCTAGGTCTGGGAAGTTCTTTACAGCTAAAACTGTCTCTCGTGCTGCATGACAAACGATGACTCAGCCTCACAAACATTCCAATCTATTTATGCCAAATATAGGGATAATCTCCCAATTTCAAGCTAAAGGGGGATGAGAACACAGTTAAGAGGATTTAGATGTCTTTACTTATAATTTAATGTAGGGACTTTGTAAACACAATTCTTTCCTTTTTGAAATACTGTTACATGACAAAAATTGCATGTAGTCCAGTACAGGAAGACAGTAAACGTATATTCAAAAAAGGATATTAACTACATTCAAGGAAAGATGATTGTGTTGATTTGATGAGTCTTGAAAAGCAACATGGAACAAACAAATCTAAGATCTTAAAATGCAACTTCAAAAATGGGCCACTTCATAGACCTAAATTTAAGGGATAACACAGTAACACTTTTACAAGAAAACATAGGTGTAAATCTTTGTAACCTTGGATTAGAAAATAGCTTTTTAGATAGGACACCAAAAGCATAAGCTACAAAAGAAAAAATGGATACTCTGGATTTAATCAAAATTAAAAACTTGTGCTTCAAAGGACACTATCAGCAAAGTAAAAAGACAACCTACAGAATAGGAAGAAAATATTTATTTTCCAAATCACATATCTGATAAGGGCTGAATAGCATATAAAGAACTCTTACCTCACAATTTAATAATAAAAACACAAATTACACTATATATATAGTGTAATATATATATTTTTTTCCTTTTTTTTTTTCCTTTTTTTTGAGAAAGTCTCGCTCTGTCGCCCAGGCTGGAGTGCAGTGGTGCGATCTCGGCTCGCTGCAAGCTCCGCCTCCCAGGTTCACGCCATTCTCCTGCCTCAGCCTCCTAAGTAGCAGGGACTACAGGCGCCCGCCACCACGCCTGGCTAATTTTTTTATATTTTTAGTAGAGACAGGGTTTCACGTGTTGGCCAGGATGTTCTCGATCTCCTGACCTTGTGATCCACCTGTCTCGGCCTCCCAAAGTGCTGGGATTACAGGCGTAAGCCACCACGCCAGGCCATATATATATATATATTTTTTTTTTTTCAAGACGGAGTCTTGCTCTGTCACCCAGGCTGTAGTGCGGTGATGCCACCTTGGCTCAATGCAACCTCCACCTCCCAAATTCAAGCAATTCTCCTGCCTCAGCCTCCCCAGTAGCTGGGACTACAGGCATGCGCCACCACACCCGGCTAATTTTTGTATTTTTAGTAGAGACAAGGTTTCACCATGTTGGCCAGGCTGGTCTCGAACTCCTGGCTTCGTGATCTGCCTGCCTCAGCCTCCCAAAATGCTGGGATTACAGGTATGAGCCACCGTGCCCAGCCAAATTACACAATATTTAAATGGGCAAAGGCTCTGAATAGACATGTCTCCAAAGAAGATATACAGTTGACTAATAAGCACATGAAAAGATGCTCAACATCATGAATCATTAGGGAAATGCAAATCAAAATCACAAGAAGATACCACTTCACACCCAGTAGCATGGCTATAATCAAAAAGACAGTAACAAGAGTTAGTGAGGATATGAAGAAATCAGAACCTTCCATACACTGCTTATGAGAATGTAAAATGGTGTCACTGCTTTGAAAAACAGTTTATAGAAATATTAAACCTAGAGTTACCATACGACCCAGCAATTTCACTCCTCAGTATATACCCAGGAGAAATGAAAACATATGTCCACATAGAAACTTGTACATGAATGTTCATAGCAGCATTATTCATAATCGCCAAAAAGTAGAAGCAATTTAAATGTCCATCAATGGATAAACAAAATGTGATATATCCATACAATGGACGATTATTCAACCATAAAAAGGAATGAAATCTTGGTATATGCTATAACATGGATGAACCTTGAAAACATTATGCTAAATGAAAGGAGCCAGTCCCAAAAGATCACAGATTTATGATTTCATTTCTATGAAACATCCAGAATAGGCAAATCCACAGACACAGAAAGTAGATTAGTGGTTGCCAGGGATCGCGGGGAGGGAGGAGTGGGACTGACTGCTAATAGGTACGCGGTTTCTTTTGAGGGTGATGAAAATGTTTTAAAATTGATTGTGGTGACATTTGCAAAACTTTGACTATACTAAAGACCACTGAATTGTACAACTTAGATGGGTGAGTTGCATGCTATATGAATGATATTTCAATAAAGCTATTTTAAAAATGAGGCCACTCTTACCTCTTCATAAACTCCCAGTAGCGTTACCATACCAGATAATAAAAATAAGACTTCTTAGAATAGCTCCAAGCAATCCACTGGATTTTCCAAAGCCCCAGATGCTGTGTAACATGTTTTATATAAATGAAATGGCATTTTTATCTTGGTGGCAAACTTATGGCCTTTATCTCAGGTGCCCCAAGCTTTATATACAAGTGCAAAGTCCAAAATTCCTCTATAAGCTATGCAACATTAACTTCAAAAGTATGCAGTGACACCTGGCCTCACTGCTACAGGGTGGGAGCCAGCCTTTCATCATCTTCTTAGGTGCATACTCAGAGCCTTTGGAAAGTAAATGCCTCATCGTGGGCATCACTTGAATTCTATTTGTAATAACATTACTTGGGAGATATGGCTTCAATAGCTTTCTTACTGGTTCCCTAGCACTAATTTTCCCACCTGCGTTTGTTGTTTCTATCTGGATTATTGTAGAGCCCTTGTTTGGAGCTATTGAAGGTGTGAGTGCTGGTCTGTTTTTAATTGGCATGCTAGTGGCTGTTGTTGCCTTATTGATCTGCAGACAGAAAGTGAGGTAAGTACAAAGATCCTTTTGGTGATTGGACCCACAACTTTAAAAATGCAACTGAAAATTCCCTTTAGGCTGAAAACTAAGAAGGGAAAATAATTTAATTTTTCCAGGTTAAATTGTCACTGTTTTCTCAATAAAAACAAGTCAAACTCTAAAGCCATGACTCACTTTTCTCAGCTCTTTTATATCCCATTGATGAATTCAGCCCTTACCAAAGGACTGAGGGGCCATCTATAGCTTTATTTAAAGATGAAGTGACTCCTTTTGCACAGGAAAAAAATATTTTGTGTGTGTGTGTGGTTCATATCCTCATGAAGACAGAGATGTTTGCAAATTGCATGCCCAAGTGCTTTTCTGAAATATCCTGAAAAGTGTGGTTGACATCACCATTTTGTAGTTCATATCTGCCATCCTAATTTAAGAAGGGACCAAAAAGAACCAAATAGCATGTGGCCCCAAGTGTCGTGCCTTCTTCTCTTAGTGAATTTTTTTTCTTAATTTGGCACATGTTCCTCTTTATTGAAGTCGTGTCTGGCATCTGAAATTTACTGGATTTTTTTAAAGCAAAGTTTTATTGAGAATGTGGGAAGTGATTATAACCTGTAGCCAAAAACCAGGAGACAAATCTTCAGTTTTTGCAGAGATCCGTTTCTGGGTGGGAATGATCTACTTTATTCTCTTTCCTTTCCCTCCCTCAGAGATGTTGGCTGAGTGCAAATCTGTATGAATACTGAAAAATCCATATTTGCACAAACATCCACAGCCTTACCATAAATGGAAAAATTTGTTCAAGCCAAGTATCATAATCAGAATAAAAGTTATCTCCCTTATGTTTCAGCCATGGTCGAGAAAGACCCTCTGCCCGTCTGAGCATTCGTAGGGATCGACCATTATCTGTCCACTTAAACCTGGGCCAGAAAGGGTAAGCACCACATTTGCCTTCGTATAATTTGTTGAAAGATGGTATTATGTGAAATTTGCTAACAAAGTCTTCCTCTTTTGGCTTCTCTTCACAGTAACCGGAAAACTTCTTGGTAAGAGAGAGAACACATTAATTACTATATTATCTGCCTTTGAAATATGAGTCAGAATAGTTATGGCACTTTCCCTTTTCTGCAGTAACTCTTTTCTGTTTGTTTCATTTTTAATTACAGTCCAATAAAAATAAATCAGTTTGAAGGGCATTTCATGAAGCTACAGGCTGACTCCAACTACCTTCTATCCAAGGAATACGAGGTACAACTCAGGCAGAATGAAGCTTCAGCATCCCTAGTTCTTAGCAGAATTTCCTTCCTAATGTTTACTGTGTCATCATAGGCTGATTGAGCTCAGAAGTTAGGAGGCTGCTTAGAATCTCAGCTGAGCACTCTTTTATGCCTAAACTATGCCCTGAATAGAATATACCATCTAATCTTAGAGGCCAGCTTGAGCTCCAGAATAACACAGCAAACCAAGGGCTACCTGGATCAGATAGTAAGGAAGAATTAACAAATCTCAAATGCAGACCTAAAGCTGTCAGATATTCAGCCTGGCCATTTGCTTGGCTGGAAGATGCCGTGGTTTCGCAAAAAGCACGTAGCTTTTGGAACTGATTCTCAGGTTTGCCACTTGGGTGACCTGGGGCACATCAGTTATCCTGACTGAGCCTCACCTGTAAAATAGTGAGACCACCACCTCCCTTGTGGGGCTGTTGTGGGGATCAGGGCTAATGCATGTTGAGTACTAGGCATTCATAAACAATAGCTAGTGTATATATTTTCATGTTATTATGTTATCTCCAGGACTGTATGATTTGCTTTATTCTATTTCATATTCTCCACTTACAAACTCATATTTGACCTAACAGGAGTTAAAAGACGTGGGCCGAAACCAGTCATGTGACATTGCACTCTTGCCGGAGAATAGAGGGAAAAATCGATACAACAATATATTGCCCTGTAAGTTTTGTGTCAAAATTTGTAATACTGTCTTCCTCTAGCCATTTCTGCATTTTTCTCCAAAAATGAAATGAGGCTAAAGAAATATAATATAGCTCGATATGGACAATCTCAAGCTCTGAATGCCTTTAATAAGAAATAGCTTGTATATTCCTGCACTTCCCTCCAGAGGGATAATAGCCAGTTTAAATTCTGATTATGAAAGTCCTCTTATGCTGTTGACATTTCCCCATGTGATGCTATTGCTTCTCTTTGGAGGCTAAGCAGTAAATGGGGTTAACAGCAAGGGCTCTGACATCAAGCAGACCTGGGTTTGCTTAGCAAAGTCTTCGGTTAGCAATTTCTACTTAAATTTCCTTACCCCATTAGGTAAAGCAATAGAAGGTAGGTTTTCTGGATTGTATTCATTCCAGCAGTGAAAGGGAGCTGGCCACTCCATCAGGCAAATGTGGTAATGTCAGAAAGGGAAGCACAGATGGGGCTTCATGTTGTCTCCTGTGTCTGACTGGTTATAGGCCACCTATGCAACATGGGGCAAGTTAGTTATCCTGCCTGAGCCTCATCTGCAAAATGGAGATAAGATCACTTCCCATCTGTGGCTGTTGTGGGGATCAGAGCTAAGGCACATCACACACATCACATAAACTGTAGAAAAGTCACTCCAAGACTCAGCAGCAAATCTCTCCTTCCAGATGATGCCACGCGAGTGAAGCTCTCCAATGTAGATGATGATCCTTGCTCTGACTACATCAATGCCAGCTACATCCCTGTAAGTGACCCACTAGGCCATAGTGTTCAGGATGAGGCTTTGGTGGGTGGCTACACTGGAGATGCCACTCCTCCATGTTCCTGTTATTCTTAGGTCTGGAAACACCTGTAGATTTCAGAAGAGCACATCTGAATGCCATAAAAAAAATGGGGTATCCAATTCAGTTCCTGCTACGCCACATTTTTCACAATGGCTATAGTCAAATGAAATTATGAGCCCAAGATGCATTTTCATAGATCATCTACTCTCTGCAGTCCTTAACCAAGATGAGAGCTTCCTAAGGAAGATGGACCTCCCCTGCTAAAGCTGCCTAGCTAGAGAAGCTGATCCCATGTTATTTGGAATCTTCACAACCACAGACACAACTCAAAGGTTATATCAAATCTTTGGGCTCTGGTTTTGGTTAGCATCTTGCCACCTTCCTATGGCATACTGCAGTGGAAAAAGCTTTCGGGTCAAACAAATCTAGGTTTGAATCCCACTTCTGCCCCTTGTTGATTCTGTGACCTTGGGCACATTATGTCACCTTTTTGGGCCTCCATTTTCTTTTCCAAAAACTGATGATAATAATATTTACCTCATACCTCAAGCAACCATCCATTCACTCAATAAACACTTAGAAATTAAGTGCTAACTGAGCTGTTTACAGGCATGGGATAAGATGGAATCCTGACCCTAAAGGAACTCTCAGAAGAGTTGAGGCAAGAAAAGGCAATGGCATGGGAAACCTGCCACAGCAGTGCCTCTCCTACATTGAAAGATGTCTGCGCCATCTGAGGATCTTGTGAAAAGGCAGATTCTGATCCATCAGGGCTGAGGCAGGGCCTGGGAATCTGTATTTCTTTCTTTTTTTTTTTTTTTTTTTTTTTTGAGATGGTCTTGCTCTGTCTGCCAGGCTGTAGTGCAGTGGCGCGATCTCTGCTCACTGCAAGCTCCGCCTCCCGGGTTCACGCCATTCTCCTGCCTCAGCCGCCCGAGTAGCTGAGACTACAGGCACCTGCCACCACGCCTGGCTAATATTTTTTTGTATTTTTAGTAGAGACGGGGTTTCACCGTGTTAGCCAGGAAGATCTCCATCTCCTGACCTCATGATCCGCCCGCCTTGGCCTCCCAAAGTGCTGGGATTACAGGGGTGAGCCACTGCGCCCGGCCGAGTCTGCATTTCTGACAAGCCTCTTGGTGATTTCAGTGCTGCTGGTCTGAGAACGGCACTCAGTAGCGAGAGGCTAGAGATTGCCATGGGGCATCTTGGAGAATATCCCCCAGCAGAGAGAAAGATAAAAGAAGGCTCAGCCAAGCAGGCACCATGCTGAGGATAAGTAAGGATTGGTCAGATGAGAAGCAGTGTTTGGGTGGGCGGGGGTGGCGATGGCAGAGGTGACATAATGTGGAGACCCTGAGGAAAGGCAAAGAGAAAGAGCTTCGATTAGAATTGACAAGGAATTGCTGTCATTGCCGGAGTGCAGAAGGAGTAGATGAAAATATCCCGCTCTTGGACTGTGGTTTGGATTAAATAAGTCCTGACCTGCGACACATTAGATGGTAGACGCTCAGTCAACAGTTTCTCTTCCGTGATGCTTCCTGTGGATGATATATCTTACCAAATTATTCTGACATTGATTATCCAAAATGACTAACACTCTTCTACATTAAATAGGGAAAGAGCCTGATTACAGTCCCTCCAACAGTCTACACAAATACCCCCCAACACACACATATAATTGAGGGTGAAGTGTTTTCTAGATCATTGCCTAAGTCCCCCATTTGCTTTCAGAATAGACCCAGGCAAGTAAAAGGGAATGTGGCTCTTAACACTAGTTCAATGTTCTGACCTTTGTCCTTCCTGCTCCCAAGCATTGACACTTGTGTTAGTATCTTTTTCTGAAGTCAGAGACTTGGCAGAGACCTCCCTATCATCTAATCTGAAGAACTCTTTGTTTATAGTTCTGAAGAGGCCCATTGTTTCTGACTCTCCATATTGTAAATTCATTGCAGGGCAACAACTTCAGAAGAGAATACATTGTCACTCAGGGACCGCTTCCTGGCACCAAGGATGACTTCTGGAAAATGGTGTGGGAACAAAACGTTCACAACATCGTCATGGTGACCCAGTGTGTTGAGAAGGGCCGAGTGAGTAAACAGCCTTCCTGGCATCAAAGCTTTGCTTTCTGCCACCTGGATAGAATTCTGCCCCATCATCAAAGTGAAACCCCGCAAAACAACGTAGGGATCATGTGAGAGCATTGTTAGTGACTTATACCACTCTGTTCAAAAGACTCTAATAGTAAACCCAAGTGATGCCTGATTCTGATTCTGGGTCTGAAGTTCCAGTCAAAGCTGTTTCCATTTGAGGACTGGGATTAGTGGCAGTGCCCATTACACCAAAAATTACCTGGCCACTTGGCTACTCCATTCTTCAGTGTCTGGCTGGAGGAGAGACCCTGCCAGAGTCACTGGACCTGCCCCTCATCCCAGGAAAGGAGAAGTGAGTTGTAGACTGTGTTGGCAGACACAAAGTAAAATAATAATCCAGACAAATCAACCAAACCCCCTTGTAATGCACTTACCATCCTCTACTTTATATGGTTATTTTGAGGATTAAAAGATTGAGGATTAAAAGAGAGATTACGTATAAAGTGCCTAGTATCTGCGCTCAGTAAACATATGCTTACATTCCTCTTCCCCTTGTCTGTATACATGTAAAGGCGAGCTTAGCTAAACGTTCTAACTTCTCAAAGATCTCTTGGCACACGGCCCACGTTAGGACAGTGACATAAAAATATGAACGAAGAAGGGCCAGGAAGACAGTGCCTTCCTCTACCCAACTAGATATTTCTTTCTTTAGAAAGAACAATACGTTGTGAACCACAGTTTACCTGCTAGTGGAACTGAAATGCTGAGGGGAAAAAAAAAAAAAAAAAAAAAAAAAACTCAAGCCATATATTACTGGGCCTAAAAAATGAGTGAACCCAAAGGTTGGAGTCAGGGGTGCTCCTTGTACAGGCTCTCCCCTTCACTTGGAGCAGCACCTCAGCTTCAGCACTGGCCATGAGAAGGTTAATATAAAGTAGATGGTCAAATTGCTTTAGCAGCTGATCCCAGATTCCTAACTTTGGAAGACATTTAGAGGAGGGAAACCCCAGGTTCACCAAGGAGTCACTTTTCCGGACTCATGTTTTTTCTGTCTGTCCTGTTCTAGGTAAAGTGTGATCATTACTGGCCAGCGGACCAGGATTCCCTCTACTATGGGGACCTCATCCTGCAGATGCTCTCAGAGTCCGTCCTGCCTGAGTGGACCATCCGGGAGTTTAAGATATGCGGTGTATGTTAGCTTGCTTGACTTAACAACCGAGCTTGGGGAGATGAATGAGATCTGTGAACCCCACTTTCGCTGGTTCCTCTCTTGTAGTTTCAGCCCATAGGAGTTGCTCCATGGCTCAGCTGTCAAGTTTGAAGGTTTGCATTGGACAGTTCCTCTTTTATCCTGCTCTCTGCTCTTACAGGAGGAACAGCTTGATGCACACAGACTCATCCGCCACTTTCACTATACGGTGTGGCCAGACCATGGAGTCCCAGAAACCACCCAGTCTCTGATCCAGTTTGTGAGAACTGTCAGGGACTACATCAACAGAAGCCCGGGTGCTGGGCCCACTGTGGTGCACTGCAGGTACTAGGAAACCTAGCAGCCAATAAAATGGCAGCCATAAGGGGGTTGTGCCTGGGAGTCTGGAAAAATACATAAGCATGGGGAATTTGGTGGGTGGAGGATTTGTCTGGACCAACCAGCCTGCCTCGCCCCCAGAGGGTTTTATAACGTTCCTCCCCTTCTGCCAACATCATTTCTCTTCCCTGACTTCTTTTCCACTTTCTTCCCCTGTAGCCTCTCTCTCATCCTCACTCTCCAGCCTTCTCTCTCCCTCTTGCTTTTTTCCTACTTTCTGAAATGCAAAGTCCTGATGGGAATTCCATGCTTTCCATCATCAGGCATATCACCTTCAATCTAAGTTCCCAATAACTCCCTTCACATTCTAGCCAGGAAAGTGAGCACACAAGCTTATTCTTGCCTCTGGCCATTCTTCCATTTTGGAATGGCTTTATCTCTCTTCTCCACCTAAGTCCTACCTATCCTTCAAGATTTATTTTCTAATCTTCCCTCCAGGTCTAGTAGCATGTCTTTGTCTATTTGTGCTGCTAAAACAAAATACCACAGACTGGATAATAAATAATAGAAATTTATCTGTCATAGTCTAGAGGCTGGAAGTCCAAAATCAAGGCACTGGCAGCTTCAGTGTCTGTTGAGAGCTTAGTCTCTGCTTCCAAGATGGTGCCTTGTTACTGTGTCCTCCAGAGCAGACAAAGGCTGTGTCCTCACATAGAGGGAGGGATGGAAGGGCAAAAGAACCTAGCTAGTTCCCTCCAACTGTTTCACAAGGCACCAGTCCCGTTCATGAGGGCAGAGCCCTCATGACCTAATCACCTCCTCCACCTCTTAATACTGTTGCATTGAAGATTAAGTTTCAACATGAATTTTTGGAGGGGACACAAACATTCAAACCACAGCACAGCAATTGCCACCTGTAGCACCTAATTTTTTCTCTTAAATTTGTTCTCTTGATTTCTCTTTGCTTCAGTCTGTCCAGAAAATCAACCTAACAAGTGAAATCTCTCTCTCTCTGGCGAGCCTGGTATCTAGCAAATTAATGTTTGCAGCAACATTTTGATAGCCCTAACTGAATGGCACTAATAAATATGGAGCAGGGAACTGCAGCAGTAAGAGAAATGCCAAGTGTACTCATCTCCTCCCTGTCAGCCCAGCACCCTAGGAGCCCTGCTTTCCTATGTCCTTGGAACCTTGACACTTTTAATAGGAAGGTGAGGCACTCACCTCAGAGCTTTCTGCTTTTTGAAAAATGGCAGGCATTTTTGTCCAGGACCACTGGAGAACTGTTATCTTATAAATGTGTGTATCAAAAATCCCCAGATGACACAACCATTTTGGGGAGGAATTTGGCAATCCCTAGTGCAGCTGAAGGTGTTCATGCCCATGACCAACCCAAGAGTTCTGCTTCTAGGTGTTGACCCCTGAGAAATCTCCACATATATTCATGTTCTTTGCAACACATGTTTTAATAGAGAAAAATTTAAAATGATCTCACTGCCACTGGATTAGCAGTGGTTTATGAAGAGAATTAATTAAAAGAAATTAGATCAGCTGGGTGTGGTATATCCTGCCTCTAATCCCAGCACTTTGGAGGCCAAAGTGGAAGGATCACTTGAGGCCAGGAGTTCAAGACCAAGCTGGGCAACTATTAGGGAGACCTTATCTCTACAAGTCTTTTTTTTTAATTAGCTGGGAGTAGTTACACATGCCTGTGGTCCCAGCTACTCAGGAGGCTGAGGTGAGAGGACTGCTTGAACCTGGGAGGTCGAGGCTGCAGTGAGCTATGCTTGTGCCACTGCACTCCAGCCTGGGCAACAGAGCAAGACCCTGTGAAGGACGGAAAGAGGGAGGGAGGAAGGAAGGAGAGAGAAAGAAAGAAGGAAGGAAAGAAGAAACGAGAAGATCTATATGTAGCAATATAGATAAATCTGAAAACATAATATTGAGTAGGAAAGTTGACAAAAAGATACCTAAAGCACATATGTTACCATTTCAGTAGATTTTTCAAACATAAATGTTTATAGATTTACCTGTATGTAGGAAAAGTATTAAAAACATGCGTGGAAATGATACACAGTAAGTGCAGAGCAGTACTTATCCCTGGTAGAGTGGAGGAGGGACAGGAAGGGAGTGGAAAGAGATAGAAGGCTGTGGGGGGGTGGGGTTGGGGGACTCTAGGTTAAACTTATTTGAGAGAAAGAAATATTCCTATCTTCTCCCATAACTGGGAAGGGAAAAAAAAGATTGTGCCAGAGTCTCTAGATGCAATCTTGAAAGGCAAATTTAATAAAAAGGCTCAATCTTCCTTTGCCATCTCTTCTAGTGCTGGTGTGGGTAGGACTGGAACCTTTATTGCATTGGACCGAATCCTCCAGCAGTTAGACTCCAAAGACTCTGTGGACATTTATGGAGCAGTGCACGACCTAAGACTTCACAGGGTTCACATGGTCCAGACTGAGGTAAGAGTTATAGACTGAAAGTTACAGGCCACCCTCCTCCCCACTGTATTCCCACAAAAAAATATCCAGGACCTTAATCTGACAAGGGGAAATAACTATGACACATTAGGAAGAGAAAAAAAGAACTGCATGTAGATATTTTCTAAGACTTGTTATTTTAAAACAAATCTCACTGGTCTTGAAGGTGACCATCTTGGGGATCATTTTAAGATAGGCTGGCAGATGAGCATAAGAACTTCACTTAGGAAAGAAGAAGATCCCAATCTCTTCTCTCCCCCAGCCCCACTCCCTCCACCTACACCCCCATTTCAGGAGACCCCAAGGGAGTGTATGTAGATGGTAAAGACCACGTGCTTCCATTTGTGCAGCACTTTGACATTTGCAGGGCATTTTTGAACATGTTATCTCATTAAATTTTCACAATAACCAAGCGAGACATATTATATTCTACTTCCAGACTAGAAAATGAAGGTCCAAAAGCTTAAGGGCTTTGCACAAAGCCCACAGCCATGAAGTGGCTGAGGTGGCTTGGCCACTATTCTAGAGAAACCTGGGCCCTTGATTGTGCTATAAGCGTACTAGCCTCAGGGTCAGATCTCTTCCTCAATAGAGACCAAGCATTCACTCCTCTGCATCAATGCCTTCTAAGGCTCAAATTCTCTTACCCTCGTGTTTCACAAGTTTTTCTCCAAGTAACTAAGCAAAATCCT
The DNA here is from genome assembly GCF_000001405.40 of Homo sapiens. Lineage (NCBI taxonomy): Eukaryota > Metazoa > Chordata > Mammalia > Primates > Hominidae > Homo > Homo sapiens. The sequence goes on along the minus strand of NC_000012.12, from coordinate 70,531,324 downwards.
CTGTATTAAAAAAAAAAATCCATGGTTGGAAAAGTAAAAAGTTCTACATGCTTCTGTGTCCCCTCTTAGAGCCACAGTACCCAAGGACAATGCACAGACAGCAATGCTCCATAAAAAGAGAGCTTCCTGCAGCCAAGGCCCCCTTTGAGCTTTATTGAACCCACTAATCCCAAAACCACCTTGACCCCTGAATTCTTTTCTTGTGCAGCACATATTAATATCCTGCATTCAAGCCAGTAACAATTGAACCAGAGAAATGAAAATAAAAATTAAAAATATTCTGCAGAACTCACATTTGACAAAACAATGGCATCATTGCCTCCTGCAGGCAGGAACCTCTGCCACCACTATTGTCCTGGGCTGGGAGTACTTTCATTATAACAATGATTCTACCATATTTTGAATGTTTTATTATGAAATTGTTTTGAAAAAATATACAAAACATGGCTGGGTACAGTGGCTCATGCCTGTAATCCTGGTGCTTTGGGAGGCCTGGAGAGGGGCAGATCACTTGAGGCCAGGAGTTTGACACCAGCCTAGGCCACATAGCAAGAGCCCATCTCCACAAAAAATTTTTAAAAAGAAAATACACAAAACTAGGAAAAATAGTATAGTGAGTTTCCATGTACCCAAACCCCTGCTTCTACAATTATCAGTATTCTGTGTTCTTTTCCCATCTGTATCCCACATTTAATGTTCCCCTACCCCATGACCTTATCCCACTGAAATATTTTAAAGCAAATCCCACTTATCATATTATCTCATCCTTAAATACACATATACTTATATACACATATGTATGTGTACACGTGTGTATGTATATATGTATGTGTGTAATACATGTCATATTGCATATATGTGTACATGTGTATATGTGCATGTGTATATGTATACACCTATATGTGTACATTTGTATGCATATGTGATATTACATATATTGCATATATACATATGTACGGGTATATAAGTGTGTACATGTGAACATGTATACATATATATGTATATTTGAGATACTCTTTAAAACTATGACCACAATGTCATTATCACATCTATGTCTTTCTTAACCGTTATTCCTAAATCTCACCTAATATCCAGTCAGTATTTAAATATCCCTAATTATCTCAAAAAATTACTTTTTATAAAAAACTATATTTGGTTTTCATTAGAATCCAGAGTTTACATATTTCATTTGGTTGAAGTGTCTCTGAAATCTTTCTATAATCTATAATCCTCCCTCCCATTTGTTTTCCATGATATTTATTTGTTAAAGAAGCCAGCTGATTTCTTCGGCAGATTTTCCCACATTCTAGATGTGGCTGATTGCTTTTTCATGGTGGTAATATATTCCTCTACTCCCCATGGATTTTTCCTCTACTCCCCATGGATTTTGTCAGCTGGTGGTTAGATCTAGAGGCCTGATTAAACTCAATGCTTCATGGGTGGTGCTGAGGGCTTTCTGTTGCATGACATCAGAAGGCAGATCACCATGTCTGTCTCTCTTTCAGCGCTGAGGAAACTGACAGTGAGTTCAGGCAGTGTCAGCCTGAACCCTTCATTATCCCCATCAACCCTTCACTTAATGGTTTTAGCAGCCACTGATGACCTCTGCCTAGCGCTGTTATTTCATCAAAGGTTGCAGAATTATATAACCCTGTATCATAATTATTAATTATTATCCTTCTTATTAATTATTATCCTTCAGCTTTCTCCACAAGACTATGCATTCCTAGAGGGTGGGAGCCTGTTTTCCTCCTCTTCTATATCCTCAATATTTTTTAATCTTTTAAATGAATGAACAAATATCCTACAATTATGTTGCTAAAAAGTCAGCATTAATATTTTGTTAGTTTATTGTCACTTTCACAAACTCAAACCCTAATTAATTTGTAACTTGGGAAAGAGGAGGTTATCGTATTGTAAATAGTCTCAAACTGTGTGTATTTGTGTGCTCTAGTAATTGTCAAAGGATTCTTGGGCCATGTATCACCTCCATACACCTGCCCCAAACTCATAATGCATTTTGGCAACTAGGAGGGACTCTACTGTCAATATCACTGGCTGACTTTCAGAGCAGAGGTAACACAATGTTCCTCTTCCTCCTTCTCCTTAGAAATAACTCCATCTTTTCCCTGTTCTGTTCTCCTTTTCCTCCTGCCTCACTGAGGACACTGTGGCATAGTTCCTCAGCTTGCCTTCTTAATGTTTGAGTTCCCCAAGGTTTTGTCCTCAAGGCACCACCCTTTCTCTCAGTCTTCATTCTTTGTGATATTCTCCATTCCTGTACATGCTCATGTTACCCAAATCTAATCTCCTGCCTCCGCATACATGTAAATGCCCGCCTACCAGATGGATCCCCCCAAAAGCCTTATAGCCATCTAACTTCAAAAAGATCAAAGTCAAACTCATTCTCTTTCAAAACAGAAAACAACAACAAAAACCTTCCTCCTGCTTTTGCACCTTCCAGTTTCATTTAATAGTATTGCCATCCATGTGTTTGCCCAAGCCAGGGAGCTGACTTCTTATATTTTTTAAGGGATGCAGTCTCATTATGTTGCCCAGACTGGACTCAAACTCTGTGCTCAAGCAATCTTCTACAGATGTGCACCACCACACCTGGCATGCTTACATGCATGGATATGTGCATTTATTTATTATTTCTATTTTTTGTTTGTTTATTTACGTGGGGAGATAAGATCTCACTATGTTCACCAGGCTAGACTCAAACTCCTGGGCTCAATGGAGTGGATTTCTTTTCCTCCAGTTCCCACATCCAAGCAGTCACGAAGTCCTTTCCTTCCCTTGGAGCTAGCCCCTCATCCCACTGCCACTGCCCTTGATCAACTCTCATTAGCCCTGCTAATGAGTAGCCTCCTAATGGGTCTCCTGCCTCCAGCTCTGCCCTAATGATCCTTCGCCACCACTGCCACCATCAAAGTTCCCTTGCTGACTCTGCCAGCTCCCTGCAAAAAAATCGTGAAAAGCTCACCACTGCTTGTAAAATGAAGTTCAAACCTCATCCTGGGTACAAGCTTCTTTATAACCTGGCCCCTACTTACTCCTCCAGCTTCATGTCATCGTACTAGCCACCACCAGTGTTTAGGGTCTGCCAGATTAAGGAAGGTTTACCCACCTGGGCCAGAATCCACTTTCAGTCTTTCCATCATAATGAAATAAACATTGCAGTAAGATAAAATTTTCTCTCTCCCTTTTTTCTCAAACAAAATTCCAAATGCTATCCAGGTATTAGGTTGGTGCAAAAGTAGTCACGGTTTTTGCCATTACTTTTAATGGCATTAATTGCATTTTAATGGCATTTAAATGCATTACTTTTAATGGCAAAAACCGTGATTACTTTTGCATCAACCTAGTATCATCTGCCTTGCTTTAAGCCTCTGCTGAAGTTGAGTTGTTTCTACAGGCTCAGAAACCCTGGTGCTAGAGCTGGCATTTGGTAATGGGAGTGGGTGCAGAGGGGTGTGATCTGTGGCTGAGCCCCTGTGGGTGACTATTTCAGCAAAAGACAGAGGACATTTGGACCCCTTGTATTATTTTTCTGGGTCCATGGTGACAGTGAACTTCAACTTACCTCTGTCTTTATTTGAGATACAAAGGGATGCAGGTCTTCACAAGTTTCCAAACAGCAAGCATTTCTAAACAAAGAGGCATTGGTCAGGGGATTTGTGAGTGTCCCTTCTTCTTTTATGCTGCTTTGAGGGAAATTTGCAGCCTGACCCTGAGAGACACATTAAGGGAGCAATAACCTGTTAAAGAACAATAGATGATAGTCACAGTCTCAATCATCTCATTTGCTTCTCCTGGGAAGGAAACACTGAGATGTTGTAGGACTAAGGACCTCAGGTTGCATTTGGGGCATTGTTCGAGGGGTTTCCCATGACCCATGCAACCAGCATTTTAGCTGCACTAGACTTCTCATGGTTTCCAGAATATATGTGAAATTGTATGTTATGTTGCCTTACTTCTTTGCTTGAATTCTTATAAATATCACCTTTTCTCTTTAGCTTGATAGTTTCCTTCCCTCAAAGTGAGCCTAATGGCTTTCTCTCCTGTATGAAACCTTATACACAATTGTATCTGATGTTTAGCATCTTATAGGTATTTGTTCACTAAATACTAAGCCATGCACTCAGGGATCACAAAGAGACTGTAATACTATAAATAATATCTAATACTCCAAATATTGATGAAATTGAATGGAACTGAATGTGTGAACACTAAGCCAAGCCTTCACCAGTTAACAAAAAATTATCTTTTGTGATCTGAGATTCATATATTTTGTCTACTTTTCATTAAGAATAAAGTGAGAAGCACATTAACAATCTCACCGTTTTAGTAGTAATCATTTTCAAAGGGACGTTCTATTGGGAAAGGAAGAATTTGTATTTAAGGCAAGGCAAATTAATAGATATTAACTTGTTTCAAAGCCCACGGTGAATCATTGTTAAAGAATTTATTAATAGGCCATAGCACAGATGCACTAGAGTTCATTCACAGCTTACCTCTAAAGTCCCAAAGTAATGTAATATCCCAGTAGAACTGAAAAGATGAATTATGCTTTGGGTGGGAGGAAACAGGGAGGTGTCAGCCTATAATTTGGTGGATCCTTTTTAAGGTAGCAAAAAGAGACTGCTTTATACTAACAACCATTCTCAGATTGTACCTTTCTCAGATTTTCAAGATTGAGATTGCATGTAACATTCATAATAAATGACAAAGGTCTGTGAGCAGAAAAGCAGAGAATAGTTATCAATATTATTGCAGGCCTCACTTCTTATTGATTTGTTTAAAATGTCCTTTTCTAGGCTGGGTACAGTGGCACACACCTGTAATCCTAGCAGTGTGGGAGGCCAAGGCAGGAGGATGGCTTGAGGCCAGGAGTTTCAGACCAGCCTGGGCAACAGAGCAAGATCCTGTCGCTAAAAAAATTTTTTTTTAATTTATCCAGGCCTGATGGTCCATACCTATAATCCCAACTACTCAGGAGACTGAGGTGTGAGAATCACTTAAGACCAGGAGTTCAAAGCTGCAGTGAGCTATGATTGTGTCACTGTACTCCAGCTTAGGCGACAGAACAAGACCCTGTTTCTTAAAAAATAAATAAATTAATTAAATTAAATGTTCTTATCTATTGATTATACCAGACCTACCTTATATAGTCCCATGGATAGCTGGCCAAGCTAGGTTCCAATCAGGGACAGTATCTAGTGCCAACCCATAAAAATAAGTACCTGTTTACTTGGAAAGATTGTTAGTGAGGAAAGAGCTAATTGTTCTACTTTGTATCTCAAACCTCTAAAATACTTTTAAGACTGACTACACTGATTGCCTTAAACACAAGGTCTGGAAATATTTTTCAATATCTATCTGTCTGACATCAATCTATATCCTTTAATAGACAAAGGATGTTAGCTATAAAAGAGACCTTTGCCTCCTTGTTTAATAAGTGGGGAAACTGGGATCCCCAGAAGCCTGATGGCTCAGCCTGGCCTGGCTGGAGGCTGCTGAGAGCCCAGTCTCCTTCACTGCTCACAACTCCCTCTGAGCAGTTGCTCAGCAAGGGAAGTTATCAGCAAGGGAAGGTTCCGCAGAAATCAATTTCCTTATAAGAGAACTCACGGAGTATAAGGAAGGGGGCCCAATGCACAAGCTTGGCTGCCTGTGGCTGAGACACAGTGGCAGTGGAGGTCTTTATGGTCACCAAAGCACTGACTCTTCTATATCTATTTATATTTCAAAAGTAGTAAATTCTTAAATAGCCAACAGATGGGTCTGTCCTCGCTATGTAACCCTTGTAGTTCTCTGCAGTTAGCCAACATCTTTGAGATTCTTCCACGTGGCAGACCCAGATGCTGAGAGAACAGAGGTGGATAAGACACTGACCTTGCACTCAAAGAACTAACAGTCCAGCGGGGCTTATTGTACACACCTCCTTTTTTTCACTATCTTCCTAGAATAAAGGGAACAAACCAGCAGAGTATGCAGTGAAATGATTTTCTCATTCAGTAATGCAATGAAATTGGGATTCATCTAAGAAAACTGGTGTAGTGAAAAAGACATGAACTTTGAGGTCACATCTCCAAGATCAAACCCTAGGGCCCCATTTCTTAGCTGTGTGACCTTGGAGAAGTTACTTTTGAGTCTCACTTTGTACTGATAATTGTATTTACTTCACAAGGTTTTTGAAATCATTAAATGAGGTAATTTACGTAAGCTACATAGGAGTGTCCGGCATTTGTTCATCTACTCAATTTGTAAAGGACCTACTACGTACTAGACACAGTTGTAGGCTCTCACAGAATATTTTATATATATATATACACACACACACACACACATATATACACATACATATATACACATATATATACATACATATACACACATATATACATACATATATACACATATATACACATATATACATATATACACACATATATACACACATATACACACATATATACACACATATATGCACACACACATATATATATAAAAAGAATGAAAAATGCCACCTCTCTGCCCATTACCATTGTTCTCTTTTCAGTGGTAATAAAAGACAGTCACTCTTTTATTTACCAGAGACCATTAGTGAAGCGATGTTCAAGAAATTTGCTAACTATATAATCCCATCATTGTCAACAGTTTGTGAGTTTCTCATCTTTCTTATGCATGAGAACAGGCCCTCCTCTGACATGTTTCTGCTTTTCCACAGTGTCAGTATGTCTACCTACATCAGTGTGTAAGAGATGTCCTCAGAGCAAGAAAGCTACGGAGTGAACAAGAAAACCCCTTGTTTCCAATCTATGAAAATGTGAATCCAGAGTATCACAGAGGTGGGCACTTACTTCACTTACTTCCCCAAGTTTCTTCATCAAGATATGGTCAATCTGGCCAGGCATAGAGGCTTACACCTGTAATCCCAGCACTTTGGGAGGCTGAGGCAGGAGGATCACTTGAGCCTAAGAGTTTGAAACCAGCCTGGGCAACATAGGGAGATCCTATCTCTACAAAAAACTAAAAAAAAAAAAAATAGCCAGACATCATGGTGCATGCCCGTAGTCCCAATTACTTGGGAGGCTGAGGGGGAGGATCACTTGGGCTTGGGAGGTCAAGGCTACAGTGAGCTGAGATCGTACCACTGCACTCCAGCCTGGGTGACAAAGCAAGATCCTGCCTCTAAGAAAAAAGAAAGAAAGAAAAGATTCTAGCTGAGTGCAGTGGCTCATGCCTGTAATACCAGCACTTTGGGAGGCCAAGGCGGGCAGATCACCTCGAGACCAGCCTGGCCAACATGATGAAACCCCATCTCTACTAAAAGTACAAAAGAGCCAGGCATGGTGGCTCACGCCTGTAATCCCAGCTACTCGGGAGGCTGAGGCAGAACTGCTTGAACCTGGGAGGTAGAAGTTGCAGTGGGCCGAGATCCCACCACTGCACTCCAGACTGGGCAACAAGAGCGAGACTCTGTCTCAAAAAAAAGAAAAGAAAAGAAGAGGAGAGGGGAGGGGAGAAGAAAAGAGAAAAAAGAAAAAGATTCTGGAAACCATTAATAACCTAAAGCTCTTCCAATGTACACCACCCATTTCTTCTCCTACCCATAAAGAGTGGCAACGGGGAAGAGAGGGAGGGTAGGGAGGGGGTTCCTGCAGCTGAGCAGCAGTTTCACAAGGTATCTCTTCCAGCCTAGCTGAGGATGCCTGCTATGAAGGACTCTGCTTAACCTTTCTTTTCCAAGCAATAAGCTTTACTACTTGGGGAGGATTCTTTGAAATCACAACTAGTTCAAATTGTAAAATCCCTTTGGAAAATAATTTGTCAATCAAGGTATCAGGGTCCTTCATATGTTCTTATCTTGTGACCCTGTATTTCTCCTACCACACTATATACAAAACAAAAAAAAAATTATGCATGAAGCTTTTTGTAGCTAAAAGTTTGACAAGCCTGGGCAGCAAAGTGAGACCCCTTCTCTACAATAAATTTAAAAATTAACCAGGCATGGTGTGCACCTGTAGTCCCAGCTACTTGGGAGGCTGAGGCAGGAGAATCACTTGAGCCCAGGAGTTGAAGGCTACAGTGAGCTGTAATTGTGCCACTGCACTCCACCTGGGTGATAGAGCAAGATTGTATCTCAAAAAACAAACAGGTTGGGCATAGTGGCTCAAGACTGTAATCCCAGCACTTTGGGAGGCCAAGGTGGGTGATCAGCTGAGGTCAGGAGCTCAAGACCAGCCTGGCCAACATGACGAAACCCCATCTCTACTAAAAATACAAAAATTAGCCGGGCATGGTGACGTGTGCCTGTAGTTCCAGCTACTTGGGAGGCTGAGGCAGGAGAACTGCTTGAACCCGAGAGGCGAAGGTTGCAGTGAGCCAAGATCATGCCACTGCACTCCAGCATGGGCCACAAAGCAAGAGTCCATCTCAAAAAAAAAAAAAAAAAGAAAAAACAAACAAAAGAATGCTATTTTTGAGGATGTTATAATAGCTAAATAAAGAAAAGCAGGATGTAAAACAAAAACAACGCATAAGGAAAAAGACTGGAGAAAATATAAATTTCCCTGAACATTAGAAAAATTATTATTTTTCCTTCTATTTTTTTGTATTTTATAAATGTTCTAGAATAAGCACATAACACTTTTCAAGTGGGAAATTCAATAGAAAAAAAACACAAACCTTACAAGGCACAGTTCTGGTCAAGCAATAATTAAATGACTAGAAGGGTCCTCCTGCGTCGTCTTACTCTGGGCCATCGTGAAGACCTAAGTTATCACATAGGCAAACTGCAAATGTGAAGGAGGATTGTATTAGTTATCTATTACTGCCTAACAAATTACCCCAACATTTAGCAGTTTAAATCAGCATTTATTGTCTCACTGGTGGCTCTGGCCCAGAGTCTTTCAGGAGGTTGCAGTCAAGACTTAGACTGGGGCTGCCATTATCTGAAGGTTTGACTGGGGCTGGAGGACTCGCTTCATAATGGCTTGTTCACATGGCTGTGGGCAGATGCAGCCACAATTCCTTGCCATGTGGACTGGTATCTCTCTATAAATCAGATAATCTTTCTTTGACAAACATTATTTCATACCCTCTTATCTCCATTCTAAATGATCTTCAACAGGTAGTGTCTCCTAACCTTTTACTTAGTTCTCTCTACCACCCAGCCTAGCCAGTATGTTAATGAGTTAGCATCTGTAAAGCACAAATAAAGAGCTACTATTTAGAGGAGTCCTTTGTAAATCAGATAATTATTTTGTATTATGAATAATTACAAATTACACCCTAATTGATCTGTATAGTAAATTAAGGTTTTTGCATGGGAGATTCCTTAAGAGGCTTCAGTATGAGCAAGTTCTGAGGGATCTTGGAGGTTCCTTTGTCTTGTTTTGACTTAAGAATCTTTTTTTAGAGTAATCTTGAGCACTCCTGAAAGAAGCTAACTATGGTATAGAAAAGGATAACCACCACGTAGCTGAAGGCTAAGATTCAGGTCCGAACTCTCGAACTAACTAGCTGTAACAAGCTGTGTAACCCTGAGTAAGTTACTCTGCCTCTCTGGGCCTATGGCTTCATCCATAAAAACAGAGGCGATGGGCTAGAATCACTAGTCCCTTCCAAGTCTAATAATCTGTCTTTCTAAATGGAATTACCTGGTCCCAATAGGAATGGTCTCATCTTAAACTAGGTTGAGCTATATGTTTCTGCTGGTCTTTCACATTGGTAATTTTCATAAACAGCGTAAACAATTATGACACACCCTGCGGCAGTCTCTAATTACAGTGTTCTTCCTTTCAGATCCAGTCTATTCAAGGCATTGAGAATGTACCTGAAGAGCTCCTGGATAAAAATTATTCACTGTGTGATTTGTTTTTAAAAACTTGCTTCATGCCCTACAGAGGTGCCAGCTATTTCTGTTGATACTATGTATAATTTATTAATCTGGAGAATGTTTAAAATTTTATATAATTTAAAGGTAACAGATATTATTGTACATAGTTGTATTTTGTAGTTTCTTCTGTAAATATGTATTTTTCATAATGTTTAATATTAAGCTTTATATAATACTATTTTTCCACACTAAAGTGTTCATGACTTGTTCTACATAAAACTAATTCAACCTGTATGACAGGACTACTGGTAAAATGCATATGGAGGTGGTGGCAGAGACAATCCTTCAGGCCATGTTTTCTACCTGTTTTGATATTCACTGGACAGGAAAAAGGGCAGGGCTAGAGAGAGCAAATACTATGGCTAGATTTGCTGCATTGCTGTCCCATGAATCTCGAGAGCCAACAGACATGTCCTAACTTGCTATTAGGACAAATGTGACAGTCAAAAAAAGGATTAGAGGGAGGGAGAAAAAAGAATTAAGCAGTACCAAAGCTGAACTAGATGCTTGTGTCTGAACTAGTTGCTCTCTCTCTCCTTTCTCCTTCCAGGGATTCAAGCCAAAGTGGTCAGCTCAGGGATCATGTAACTTGCAGTGCAAGCCCAGGATGGTAGGATGCAGGGTTGAGGGTTCTGATAGAGAATGATTCCAAACAGAAGTGATGAATTCCTTTTGTTAATAAGATGCCAGCTATACCCAGACTGGAAACATAACATGCAAAGCACTATCTACAGTGATTAGAGATCCTTTCATTGCATTCATGGTGTGGAGTGTGAACATCCACACCCATACTGTAATGTATTTATACACACTAGTTTCTGTCTCATTTTCAGTGGTCTCCATTCCTAGAAAAGTCACAATTATCCATTCCTACTTGATTTCCCATTAAAAGAATATTATGGTAGCAGATTGTGCCCCTCATTAAAAGGCTTAATGCCAACATTTTCATAGAAATGACTACAAACATCATATATAGTAAATTTAAAAACAATAGCAAAAACAAAAACAGTGGTCTTCAGTAAAATTTTCAAAACTTCTTTTAGTAAATCAATGAAGTCAAAATGTCAAGTAATCACCCAAAGTTGCATTTAATAACAAAAGGCACTACATACTGTACCAAGTTTATCTTCAATATTTGTGCCTTACTTACTTTGACTATAACAAATTCCAATGAGTCAGAAAGTATTTCCTTCATCAAGGTCCAGTTCCGACAGCATTCCTGGGAAAAATTTGAAAGGAGTTTGTACGGAATCTTCATAGATACCTGAGAAGATGAGCTGGAGATGTTTGCCTTTTTCACACTACAAATTTTTCTGTAATAAACTTGGGAATTAGAGGTCAAGTTTGTTGATGGCATAGCTTCCTTTGCATAAAGAGTATATTTCTTTTCAAAGTATATATTTTTGTAACCTACCATAAAGTCCGTAAGTGAATACAACGAATGTAATTGACATAATAATTGAAAATCATTGACTATACCTAAAATAGTTCTTTATAATTAAATAACTCTACACCCAATCTGGAAATTTTTCCAAGGTTATTTGAAGTTTACAAAAATGTGAAGCATAATCATAAGCTTCAAAGATTCACAGTTTCATTGTGCTCAATGCTCTTGTGAAATGACAGTCTTAAGCTCTGATTCTGTATCAAGGAACTAAGTGAATCTTCTGGAAATGAAAAGGAACAACATATGTGTAAGTGCAGTAGATGTACCACCAGCGAGAAAATAGAGGTCAGAGATCTACAACGTGTGGCATCCATTAGAAATCACCTTTCCTACATTGAAAAGAAAAAAGAGAAAAAGCAGAATTTTACACTAATGTTGCTTGATGCAAAGCACATTAATGCTTGGAAGGATACATTCATTTTCGACTTTTCATTCACTCAGAAAACTTCTAGTAAGTATCTGCAACCTGCTAGGCACTGTTCCAGAATCTACACATTTCTACTCACATAAAGAGAATCCTCATAAAGTTAGGATTGTTGTTACTACCTTCAATTGAGCTTAAAAGACAGCCTCATCAAGGGAATGGGATAACTGAGCCAGTCTAGGACAGTGGTCACCTTCCACAGGCCACACACTGGAAAGTGCTAATGCTACTTTAATAGCAAACCTCTGGATCTAGGAGAGAGAGCAATTAATTGCACAAACCAGGAGTTAAAACCATAAAAAAAACCTATGCATCTGTAATAGTAAATAACACTCACGTACTCTGGCAACATCTAGGGTAGTATCAGAATTATGTAAATGGACATGACAGGGAAAAATCGTAGGTTTTTTTAGTCTAATCCAACCCAGGAAATGTTTATTCCTACCCTACACCTAATTTTAAACCTTCTTAGCAACAAATATTTCACTATTCGCTCCTACTCCTGGGAAGACTAAATATATAATTGACTTATTTATTAAATTTAGGAGAAAAAAAAAGTTTTCCTTGACATTCAGCTCTATTGGATTTATTTCCATTTAATTGCATCATGTGTTATGTCTTGGTAAACACTCCATTTCCTGTCTTGGTGGGCATCCTGTCTGTGTACCTGTGCAGTACACTTTAATCATCAAGACTTCAAAGTGCTTTTGAGCTATCAAATCTTGGGAGAGTCCCATCTAGCATCTTAATAATTATTTTTCCAAGTTCGTTATAATTAACTCCTTTAACCTCATCTCATTAAATCAATTTTGTATTGTCATTCTGTTGTTCTCTGGAAAGCAGCCAATTGTTCAGCTCTTGAATCAGAATTTTCAAAGACTCACCTCTCTTACCTGGGCTTGCACATATTTGTCCTAAGTAATTCTCTATCCCTTAAACCTCTGAGTCCCTCTGTTTTATTACTTGCCCCACTCCTCCTACTTGAATATGTTTGTTTTCCCAGTTGAATGTGATTTTTATCTACTGTTCATATTATCTTTTATACCCATGAGTATAATTTCATAGTCCTTTCAGGTTCCACATCATCAAAGAGATGACCATAATTTCACTTTTTTTTGAAATGAAGTCTTGCTCTGTTGCCCAGGCTGGAGTGCAGTGGCACAATCTCAGCTCACTACAACCTCCGCCTCCCAGGTTCAAGCGATTCTGCCTTAGCCTCCCAAGTAGCTGGAATTACAGGTGCCTGCCACCATGTCTGGCTAATTTTTGTGTTTTTAGTAGAGATGGGGTTTCACCATGTTGGCCAGGCTGGTCTTGAACTCGTGACCTTAGGTGATCCACCCACCTCAACCTCCCAAAGTGCTAGGATTACAAGAGTGAGCCACCGCACCTGGCCAATTCACTTTTAAATACTAAAAGGCACACAGCACACAGACATTTTCGGGGCAGTTTTCTTTGGGAGGGTCTTTGATAAATTTTGTAATCACCTCTCGGAAGAAAGCCCAAAATGACATGTGAAAATAATATTAAACCATTTACCAGATGTCCAGCAATATAAAAATAGACCTCACATGCTACCCTTCACATGCTGATTCTCTTGCCTTGCTGTTTAAGGATCCAGTTTCTTATGTTAAACATTTTCCTTACCTTTTGCAATAATATTATTGGCCATATACTAAATTCTCATTCACTTAGCTTTCTAAGAATTCTTTGAGGTTGGAATCCTGAAATCATAAAGCTACCAGATCTGCACAACAGCAGTGGTAGTATCTGAGCCCAAACTCTGAGACGCTCTAGAGTTTTAGTTTACAAACATGAGCCAGACCAAACCTGACCTGGTGAAAATCAATAGGTAATAAACTGCTTGTATATGATAGCAGTTCAAGGGCTTTCTGGGTTCCATTTCACTGAGGAAATGAAAATATAACTGATTAGCCAAGACAGAGTGGCAATAAGGAATAACTGATCCTCCTCCAAGTTGCAGTGAGCAAGCCCTCAAGCCTACCTCATTCCTGAAGAGTTGAAGGAGAAAATGCCGTGCTAATTTTCTGCCCTGCTATTTTTAACCTGAAATTTAGAATTACATCAGGTATTCAAAGAATGTTCCCTATCAAAGGAAAATCTGTAAACGATGACTGCAAAAAGCAAGTGAAATGATGCAAAGAGAAAATATTTGCAAAACAGAATCTAACCAGACATCATCATGAAGATAAAATGGCATCTCTTCTGTGTGGCCTGGGTGTGCTTGGACAATCCTGTCACACGTTTCTATTAGGACATGTTGCCCTTTTGAGGATTCACTCTATGTTGGCCAGATGGTTTAACTGATTAAACAATTGAATCAATTTATTTTGCTTTTTGAATTGACCAGATATTTAACTAAATGTACTGGGTTTGGCATTTTAGACACACTGCCTTAGATTCTTGTAGTGCATGATGACTTTGAAAATGTTTGGCCATTTTAGTTAAAATGCAGGGTAACATTTGATGCAGCCATGATAACAGGAAAAATCTGTTCTGTTCTAAAAATGTTTCTAGCAATAGAAGTATTTCTGGCTAAGAGAATACTCTTGACTTGTAGGGAGGCTCCCTCGGAATAAATGTATGCAACACAAATAAGGCATTTTATTTTTTAAAAGATTGTCTATATAAGATACACTTATTAAATAAAGAAATTGTTGGTGAATGCTCTGAAAATAGAGGCTTATGTAATGGAAATAAGAGATTAACAGGTTTACCAAAGATTATTTTTATAACCTCTATGCCAATTCACATGATCTTATATAAGACACCAAAATAAGTTATTCAAAACTGTGAATAATGTCAGACAAATGCAATGTGTCCCTTCTAGAACAGTCACAAAAAGAATTGGTTATAGCTATTTTAATAAATAATATCCTCACCCCAAGAACAAACGTTCAGTTATGCTGAGATGTTCTAATAGCTGTGTGCGTAGATAAGCACCTCCATCAAGAAAGGAACACATGAAATTGTGGCTTTAAGAGTTTGTGGCAGAGTTGGACAGCATTCCATCTGCAGGTTAGTAGGAAAGCCTGTACCAGCCTTTGTGGAATGTCCTAGTCTGCCACACTGACAAGAGGGTGCACCAGTGCTCTACTGGAAGAGTATTTCTGGTTTTCTATGCAGGACTATTGGGCTTATAAATTCCTCAAGAACAAGGACCAAGTCTTTAATCTCGTCTCGACTCCTACCTTGTGGAAATTAGTGCACAGCTCATAGACATTCTACACACACTTCTTGAAATTGCTCCTGGCCTGATATTTTGGATGTTAGGTAGTCAGTGTCCAATAATACTGTTGTCCGTGCAGGTTAATCTAGCCATTCCTTCATTTGTGTGAAGCATAAATAATGTAAGTAAATACAGCAACTGAACTTTTTATGTTCTATAATAGAGCACTTTTATGTTTTTAATATCATTTATTATTTCTCTGAAAATCCAGTTAAGATGGCAGATGATTCTATTTTTTCATATTATAGCATCTACCCACAATATTTCTAACTAACTGTATTTGAACAAAGAACTTCCTTAGTCTTTCAATTTAAATTATGTATTTGCTTAATACATTTTTATATTTGTAACTGTGGTAAAAAAAAAATCTATATAGCATCTTGCATACATTCTCACTAGTACAGGAATAAAACTGCAGTTTGTTGAAGGAGAGTGCTCTGTCTTCTATTCACCTGCTCCTCATTTATCAATTTTTGTCATCTGTCTGTTCAGGAGAAAGGCCAAAAGTGACTGCTTTAAAATGAGAAAAATCTTCCAGGACATTATCATGAAGAATATAGTTGTCTTAACCTTTAGTCCTGTAAGTACTGAGTTGGTTACCTACAGTATTGTGTACATAATAATAGACTCTCCAGCTGACCGTCTCCAACTAAATTCCTGTTTTCAGTTCTTTACTTCATTAATAACCAAAATGTCATCTGTTACCAACAGTGTTGGTGTACTCTCAGAGGTACTGCCCTGGCTAGATTTCCACTGAGCCCTTCAGAGACACTTCACACATTTGCGGACAGTGTGGCATTTGGTAAAGAGACGCCATGACTATTTCCAGAGTTATGAGTTTGCCCTTTTGCCTTTTTCATATTTTAGTGGAAAGATCACTGTCCTTCACAACTCCAATATTTCATTTTTCTATAACTTGTTCACAGAAACCTTTATTTTTTTAAAAAATGTACAGTAGCAGATTTACAAATAAAATCATTAAATCAAAGTAATCCTTCCTTTTAAAACAGTTTCTGGACTCAAAGAAGTAGGTTAACAAAATAAATTCATCTATGAAGCTAGATTTTTTTTCCAAAGTAGCTATTTGACAGAATTTATTCTTAAAGAAAAAGAGGGTATTGCAATTTGAACTAATCACTTGGTAATTTTGCTGATAAATCTTCCATAATCATAAAATATTAGAGCTGGAAGGGCCAACTTGGGACCAAGAATGTAGGAAACCAAGACACAAGTTTAAAAGCAATACAGCAAATAAAATAAAATATAAAAATAAAAATAATACAGCAAAATAAGACAATGCTGAAATCAAACCTGGTTTTCCTGTTACTCAGGGGGAGGACCTGTTCATATGTAAATACAGACAAATAAAAATGCTGCTCATTGCCAGCACAGTGGCTCACACTTGTAATCCCAGTGCTTTGGGAGGCTGAAGCATGAGGATCACTCGAGGCCAGGAGTTTAAGAAAGGTGCTCAGAAGCCAATGTACACAATAGCTACTTCCAACACTAAGGCAGAACTGTCAGTGGAACCTTCAATGTTTTGCATGGTTAATCCTCTTTTTTTGGTATCTCATATGTCTGGAAACACCCATGTATTAAACAAATCTCAGGCTGTATTTAAGAGTCATACCTGAACAAAAGTCATCACAGTCTGAAATCTGAAATAATATTACATATAAAAGGAAAAGGCAGGATTTTTCTAACACAATATTATTATAAAACATTATTGAAACTAATTGTATCAAACCTTCTAGAATCCAGAAGTTTCTACAGCTAGATTTTCAGAGACCTGGCAAGACTTTTGATGCTGCTGATGAAAGGAGCATTCATAATAGAAGAGTAAAAATTAACTGGTAGAATCCAAGCCTGAATAGTAAGAGAAAACCACGCAGGGATGGTTCTGTATAGAAGTTAACCAACATTTACCTCCTCCCAAAGGAGGTAACAAACCCCAAAGGCCGTGCTCACTAAAATATCTCCCAATCCAGTATTTTCCAAGGAAAATTTTACTATTATAATAGAGAACTGCTGATATGAATGAAGCTTGCTTTTTTTCTAGGATTTGTTGTGACAATAACTTCTCCTTTGACCAAAACTTTAGTTAGGTTCCTCAGTGTCCTCTGCCTGACTAGGCCCATCCTTGGGCTTCCCTCTCTGTCCTTGTAGACTCCAGTTTAAAGTCAGGTTAGTGAAAATCCCCCAACCGAGGTACCTGACCACCCTTGATATCTTATCACCCTGGCCTGCCTTCAGCAGGAATTCCCTTTACCCCTGATGTTTCCTCCTCTTAGTGAGTTTTCATTCACTGACCTCCCATCCTGCTCCTGCTTTAAATAGGAAAGCTTAATTTTCCTTTTTAATTTAATCCCCACTTGTCCTTGCTGAAGTTGAAGATGAGTCCAATTTCTCTCCCCTACTGCAAAACCCCATTGCAGATGTCCTTATACTTACTACTACGGCCCCTCTTAAATAAAGCCTGCCTTGCTGTCTTTAACAAGTGTCATGAATAATTTTTCTTCAACAATTTTAATGATGCAACAACCTTTGTGTAAATTATCTTAATATAAAAGTACTTTCCTCTTTGGCCCCTGGAAGAAACTTGGCATCTATTTACATCTTAAGAAAGAATTGGCAATGAAATATGTTTCCTATCTCTATTATCCTGCTGCAAACCACTGGTGGCCAAGAAGTTTCTGTATCTTAGGGCTTGCCAAAGAGTTACAGTAAACAACAACAACAAAAAAAATCACAGAAGCTGACAATACAACCATAGAAACAAAGTGCAATAAGAGTGGAGAAGTTCAGAAGCCAGGGAATATTTCTAAGTCTATGCTTTAATCAGATAATACTATTTGTAAGACATATAAATTTAAACATTTTAAGACTTTTTTTTTTTCCTAAAGAACTTTGCAATGACCACTAACTTAGTCGTCACCCAAGTTGACGTTTCTCCCTGACTCAGAACAGATAGCAGGGGGAGGAAACAACTGTCTACCTGCAAAGAATAACACATCAGCAATAAAGAAAGATGAGCCAGGACAAAAGGGGAAATAAAACGAATGGTCCTACCTTGTTGTTCAGGCTTTAGTGGAGGACTATGAGGAGAAGACAACTGGGGAGTAAAATTAAAGGTGAGAGTCAGGTCTGAAAGAGCTATTAGGAGTCTTAGACCTCTTGTAATAGCAGAGGATTTTCAAATTCAACCCAAGAGGAAGACATTCCAAGACCTGTTTAAGGGGACCAGAAGTTCAACCTCTAGGATGGTCATTAAAAGCTGTAACATTTAAAGCAAGGGTCCCCAACCCCCAGGCGACAGATAGGTACTGGTCTGTGGCCTGTTAGAAACCCAGGTTGCACAGCAGGAGGTGAGCAATGGGTGAGAGAGCATTACCACCTGAGCTCCACCTCCTGTCAGATAAGCAGTAGCATTAGATTCTCAAAGGACTGCGAACCCTGTTATGAACTGCATATGTGAGGGATCTAGGCTGAGCACTCCTTATGAGAATCTAGCACCTGATGATCTGAGGTGGAACAGTTTCATCCTGAAACCATCCCCCTCCTTCCACCACCCCCCAAGTCCATAGAAAAATTTTCTTCCACAAAACTGGTCCCTGGTGCCAAAAAGGTTGGGGACCACTGATTTAGACAGAGCTTTTTACTTTTAAATGGCACCCAAGGTACTTGGCGAAATAATCTGTACAGCAAAATCCTGTGACACGAGATTACCTGGATAACAAACCTGAACCAAAAATAAGTTTAAAAATAATAATAAGGCCAGGCATGGTGGCTCACACCTGTAATCCCAGAATTTTGGGAGGATGAGGTGGGTGGATCACGAGGTCAGGAGATCAAGACCATCCTGGCCAACATGGTGAAACCCCATCTCTACTAAAAATACAAAAATTAGCTGGGCATGGTGATGGGTGCCTGTAGTCCCAGCTACTCAGGAGGCTGAGGCAGGAGAATCGCTTGAAACCGCGAGTCAGAGGTTGCAGTGAGCCAAGATCGTGCCACTGCACTCCAGCCTGGGCGACAGAACAGGACTCTGTCTAAAAATAATAATAATAATAATAATAATAATAATAAATAAAAGGCACCTGAGGCTATTTTTGAGTGCCTTCAACTTCCATACAATACAGATTAATATCCTCACTTTACAAATACAGAGGTAGATGCACAGAAAAGACTGGAGAGTGGCCCAAAATTTAGCAGAATAGGAACAATGGCTAATGCACATTATGCACTAATTGTGTGCCAAATGTTCTATATGTCTCATCTAATTCAACTCTTTATACAACTCTTGTTGTTATACCTATTTGGAGACAAAGAAATTGAAGCTTAAAAAGACAAGGTAGGCCTGGTGCGGTGGCTCATGCCTGTAATCCCAGCACTTTGGGAGGCTGAGGCAGGTGGATCATGAGGTCAGGAGATCGAGACCATCCTGGCGAACACGGTGAAACCCTGTCTCTACTAAAAATACAAAAAAGTAGCTGGACGTGGTGGCATGCACTTGTAATCCCAGCTACTCGGGAGGCTGAGGCAGGAGAATCACTTGAACCTGGGAGGCAGAGGTTGCAGTGAGCCGAGATCACGCCACTGCACTCCAGCCTAGGTAACAGAGTGAGACTCCATCTCAAAAAAAAAAGACAAGGTAATTTTCCCAAGGCCATCTAGTATTAAAGCTCAGCTTCCAATATGAATCCTTCTGATTTCAAAATGTGACCTCTTAACCTCTATGCCCACGTAGCTCAAAGTTTGGTCCCCAGACCAGCAGCATCAGCATCACCTGGGATGTTGTTAGAAATGCATATTCTTAGATAGCACTCTCCAGTCCTACTGAATATGAAAATCTGGGGATGGGGCCCAGCAATCTGTGTTTTATTAACAAGTCCTCCAAGGTGATTCTGATGCATGATATTCAGTATTGAGTTTGGGCAACCTCCCTGCTTTGTAGATTCTCATCTGTCAAATTTAACTCTTTGAACATGCCCTGTTTGACAAAAAGGAATAGAAACATGTAATATTTTTGAGCCCTAGCACATAATAAGCACTTAATAATCATTAGCAACTAGTATTACTACATGTCAGGTTTTATTCTGAACTGCTTTAGCTGCATTATCTCATTTAATTCTTTTAAAACTAAATAAGGTGGAGATTATCATTCCCATTGTAGGAGTGAAAAGAGCTGCTTCTTTGTCCTCTGAAGATGTGCTGAAAATCAACTGACAAAAGGCAAATTAATAGGAGAAAAGGCATACAAATTATTAACATGCTTGAGGGAAAATCACAGTGATTGCTCTATAACCCAGTATGGTATAGAAGCTTATATATCCTTTTTCATAGAAGAGAAGATAGGGAATGTAGACAATTCTTTTGAGGCGCAATAAACCATTAGGGAGAATGAATGGACCTGGGAAGTTGAAGTAGACATTACAGGGGCAGAGCTGCACAGAAACAAAGATTGTCTTTTTTTTTTTTTTTTTTTTTTTGAAACAGAGTCTCGCTCTGTCACCCAGGCTGGAGCGCAGTGGTGCGATCTCGGCTCACTGCAACCTCCACCTCCCGGGTTCAAGCAATTCTCCTGCCTCAGCCTCCCGAGTAGCTGAGATTACAGGCGTGCACCACCATGCCTGGCAATTTTTGTATTTTTAGTAGAGACAGGGTTTCACAAAGTTGGCCAGGTTGGTCTCAAACTCCTGATCTCAGGTGATCCACTCACCTGGGCCTCCGAAAGTGCTAGGATTACAGGCGTGAGCCATTGCGCCCGGAAAAAAGGTTGACTTATTATGCAGATGAAATCCCTCAGTTAATCTCTTGGAGCAGCACTCTGTCTAGATGTGGTGATGACTCCTAGTATCTTTTCTCCAGTGGTTGATCTCTGGAGAGATCCTTAGGGAGGGGGATTAAGACCACAGAATTTCTTTTAGAAAGCTTTCTTCATCAGATAAGGAAATCCAAAGAGTCCCTCCCTGAGCTTAGGGTTGTAAGGGAAGGGGAGAAACACGGTTAAACCTTGATTCTGAAGCAGCTTCTAAGAACTCTCAGCACCAGCCTTTGAGGTATCATTCTCCGAGCCAACATAATCCTATAAATGAAGAAACAGAGGCATACAGAAAGTAAGTAATTTTGCCCTAGGACATGTCAACCTAAAGAAAAAACAGACAAAATTAA
Organism: Homo sapiens; assembly: GCF_000001405.40. Lineage (NCBI taxonomy): Eukaryota > Metazoa > Chordata > Mammalia > Primates > Hominidae > Homo > Homo sapiens. Next base: position 70,510,125 of record NC_000012.12, on the reverse strand, counting down.
CATAAGGAGAGAGTTTATTTGGGCCAAGTTTGAAGACTGAAACCCAGAAGCATGGACTCAAGTTGCCCTAAATATATGTCCCGACTTTACAGCAGTTACAAGTGGGCTTTTAAAGGAAAAAAGAACAGGCATGCAGAAGACATAGCCAAGGAAAAAGAAAGAAAGAAAAAAGAAATAAGAAGAGGCACTTCCTTGGTTGTTTACCAAGAAATGACAATAACATAAACTATTGATTTGCTATACATTGTTCTTTGTATCAAAAATCCCAGGAACATGAAGATAATGGGTGAGGCAGCTAGTCAGAAAACCACAGGTAAGAAAAGAAAGAATAATATGCCTTTGAGCAATTGCATTTAGGCATGGAATGGGTGCATGACTGAAGTCTCATACTCATGTCTCCCTGGGCCTGACACATTTTGCAAAGTTCACATAGTTCAGACTTATCTGAGCTATTTTTTATTCTCACTTCCCCCTTTTGATTAAAATTTTTCTCTTCTAAAAGCACTGAAGATTAACATTTTAGATATAAGTCTGACAAACTTTACTAGGAAAGTTCATTTCCAGGTAATCTCATTCCACAGAGAGAGAAAAAGGAGAGACACTATGGCTTATCATCTTCATGAGGTCTCAAGGTCAAACTGATTGGCAACTCCAAGGAACACAGCAATGTTCTTTATTTTGTTTTTATTTTTTATTTTTTAGACGGAGTCTCGCTCTGTCACCCAGGCTAGAGTGCAGTGGCGCAATCTTGGCTCACTGCAAGCTCCCCCTCCCGGGTTCACGCCATTCTCCTGCCTCAGCCTCCCGAGTAGCTGGGACTACAGGCACCAGCCACCACGCCCGGCTAATTTTTTGTATTTTTTTAGTAGAGACGGGGTTTCACCGTGTTAGCCAGGATGGTCTCGATCTCCTGACCTCGTGATCCACCCACCTCGGCCTCCCAAAGTGCTGAGACTACAGGCGTGAGCCACCACGCCTGGCACAGCAATGTTCTTAACCAGGCCATCTGCTTACAAAGGAGCTGCAGCATGTTGGATCAGTTCTAAGGATCTTGCTATCATGATTAGTTTTTTTGTTGTTGACTTTAAACATCTAGAAATACAAAGCATGATCAATTTCAGAATCAAAAGTATGATGCAAATAGGACAATTATTAACAAAACAACTGAAATGCAGATCCAAAAAGGGTTCCTATTACTGAAGGGAACCAAATAAATATTTCATTTATTTCCTATCCTGATATGAAGAGCAAGGTATTGAAAACCTTCGGTAATGAAGATGTTCACTCAAGTGGGGCTGCTGGATATGGTTCATTTATTTTATGGATTTTTCCAATAAATAAAATCTCCAGATTGGATACCATATTTGATGTTGTTATCACCTAATTGGATTCCTGCTAACTGCACAGAAGAAGCCAAAACACTAAGCCAGCAAGTGTTGCGGCAGAGAAAGAATTTAATTATTATAAGGCAACTGAGTGAGACAGACACTCAAGGAGATGCTTCTCAAATCCACCTCCCCAAGAATTCAAAAGCTAGGATTTTTAAGGATGGTTTGGCAGGCAGGGAGTGCTAGGGAATGTGTGCTACTGAGTAGTTGGAGATGAAATCATAGAGTATCAAAACTAACTTCACGCACTGAGTCAGTTCTTAGGTTGAGGTCATAGGTCACTTGTCTGGTTGGTGTCAGCTGGTCCATTTGGATGCAAAGTATGAAAAAATATCTCAGAGACCAGTCTTAGGTTTCATAATAGTGCTTGTGAATGCTGTTACTATAGAAAAGCAAGCTAGGGAACAATGGCAGGTTATTGTTTAACTATGCCTAGAGCTTAGCAGAAAGGTTTGCAGGAAGTGAGATCCCCAGTGGTCAAAGCTTCTTGGCCCCTTCACCAGTTCAACTTCTGGAAGCCATCAAGGAGACCTACATGACCTAAAGATAATTGTTCTTTAAGAGAAAAACAAGTTCATTAATCTTGTGGGCAGCATGCCTGATGGGGCAGGAATAGGAAGATAATTAATTACTAGTAACTATAATTTATTAAAATGACTATATATAAGGAATTAGACATGGAGGAAGAAAAGGTCAAAGAAAGGAAAATAAGTATAAGAAACATCTAATGATTTACCTATGTCTCTGTCTTAACAAAATCCAGGCCAATACCATAATTCTAATCTTGAACCTTTTATTAATTTTATGATGGCAGTTTCAATGTCTTCATCTCCTGGGAACTTTCTGTCAAAAGAATCCATAATTAATTTAGAATTTTTAGAGAGACACTTATAAGGCCTTGGCAATAATGAAGAATACCATAGGAGAGCTGGTTCATAGACTCCTTCAGCTAGGTGCATGGGGCATCTGTTACCATTTCAAAGGGAGAAAGCTGTTGTTTTCCAAATGGGGTAGAATGTAAGTTAAGCAAATAAAAGAGCCGTAGGCCTCAATAGTCTAAATGTTTCTGTAAGCCTTACCGATTGTTGTTTTTATTATTCCATTTCCTCCTTCCACCAGTCTGGAAGACTGAGGGTAGTATGCACAATGGAAATGCTGATTCATCCAATCTCAATCAGCTTTGGCCACACAAGATAAGATATCTGTAAGCCTTTTACAATCTCCTACAATTTTTCCCATTCTCTTTCTTTCACCAACTTTCTATATTCATCCAGTTTTAGCTATTATTTTTTAAAATCCCTTCAACTTAACCTTTAAAAACTTCAGGACAAAATTACTTTTCCTTTAACAAAAACCACTCTCTCATGCCTTCTTTATAACATTCTTTATCAAAAATGGATCCTACTTTTCCTTATACACTCTGTATACAGAATTGTTTCTCTTCTATCTAGTAGTTTAACTACAATTTTAACTCTTAATAGCCTTAATTTCTAGTGAAGAACCTAGACATAATTTTCAACTGTTTTATATCAGCATTTGTAAATAAAAATCACTTCATAATTTTTAGAAAGATGTTTGATTATTTATTAACAGATCTAAATATATTTAGCTTTCCTACACTATATAAAAATAAGATGCTGAAGTATGTAAACAAACCTATATTTAACAATTAATATTCCAGTATTTTAACTTACCTAGAAATGACTCAGACATTTTATGATTATTTGTTAACTTAATTTAACACGACTGTAAGATTAGGTTACTGAAAATATTTTTGAAACAATAAAAAGTTCATTTATTCCATTTACATTTATCTAATGCATTCATTTTTAACAATTATGCTTGAACTGTCTATTAAACAAAGGTAGCCATCATCTCAAGTTATTTCTTTCTTAATAATTTTGACAACTTGAAAATGTTAGGCAGTAACCACTTAAGCAAAAACCCTAAAGTTAAATACGTGGGTATTTTGTTGATCAGAAGACAAAACTATTTTCATTAACAATATTAAACTACTCTTATTTGCCAAAGATATACCCAAGTCATGTGAACTAAAAGGCATTTGAGTTACTTTCTATTTTCCTGATAAAATATTTGATGTAAGTTGTTAGTTGTTGTTCTTCTTCTTTTTCTTCTCCTTCCTCCTCTTCCTTCATTCTTCCTCCTCCTCCCTTTTTTTTTTTTTTTTTTTTTTTGAGACAGAGTCTCACTCTGTCACCCAGGGGCACTATCTCAACGAACTGCAAGCTCTGCCTCCAGGGTTCACGCCATTCTCCTGCCTCAGCCTCCTGAGTAGCTGGGACTACAGTCGCCCACCACCACGCCTGTCTAATTTTTTGCGTTTTTAGTGGAGATGGGTTTCACCGTGTTAGCCAGGATGGTCTCGATCTCCTGATCTCATGATCTGCCTGCCTCAGCCTCCCAAAGTGCTGGGATTACAGGCGTGAGCCACTGCGCCTGGCCCTTCTTCTTTTTGAGACAGGGTCTCGCTCTGTCACCCAGGCTGGAGTGCAGTGGAGCAAACATAGCTTACTGCAGCCTTGACCTCCCTAGCTCAAGTGATCCTCCCACCTCAGTTTCCCATGTAGCTGGGACCGCAGGCATGCACTGCCATGCCAGGCTAATTTTTTTATTTTTTGTAGAGATGGGGTCCCACCTTGTTGCCCAGGCAGGTCCTGAACTCCTGATCTCAAGCAACTTTCCCACATTGGCCTTCTAAAGTGCTGGGATTACAGGCATGAGTCACTGTGCCCAGCCAACAGTACTACTTTTTCTTTATGCAATTAATTAGAGCTTTTTAAATATATATTTTGGCAGTTAAATATCACATACATATAAGATACATAAACACATAAACATACAGACATACAGATAGAAGCAGATCATCTAGCTTTTTTTTTTTTTTTTTTTTTTTGAGATAGTCTTGCTCTATCACCCAAGCTGGAGTGCAGTGGTGCAATCTCAGCTCACTGCAACTTCCACCTCCAGGCTCCTGGTTGAAGCGATTCTCATGCCTCAGCCTCTTGACTAGCTGGGATTACAGGCATGCACTACCATGCCCAGCTAATTTTTTTATTTTTAGTAGAGGCGGGGTTTCGCCATATTGGGCAGTCTGGTCTCGAACTCCTGGCCTCAAGTGATCTGCCCACCTCAGCCTCCCAAAGTACTGGGATTACAGGTGTAAGCCACTGTCCCTGACCCATATAGCTTTTATAAGATTCTTCATTTGCCAGTTTTCATATAGTTTCTCTCTTGTCTTTAGACTATCAATCTCTTGGTTACCTGTTCCATTGCCCTAAATAACTGTTAGCTAGGCAACTGTAAATGTGTACCTCCAAGGATGCGACTCTTAAGTGACAGGCAGAAAATTTACATCTCAAAGGCACAGAACTTAGATCTAAATATCATTTTTGCTGACATAATGAAGGACATAGGTAAAAGCTCAGTTAAGACAAGATTACCAGGAAAAGTATCTCAAACAAAAGTAAGGTTTCTTATGTAAACTTCAAGCCACTGTCTTTCTCATTAAAAACCACTAAATGGGGGGTTGGGGCCAAGATGGCTGACTAGAAGCAGCAGCAATTGGAGGCTGTCATTGAAACGAATGATTATAACTAATGAATCCTGTACCAGCAACCAAGGTATCCAGGTTCTCTCATCAGAACTCACTAAGTGGCTGGCATGATCCATGGAGAGAAAGGAAGAGCGGTGTGGTGCTGCAGCCCACCTGAGGGCCACATGGGGCAGGGGAGCCCCCACCCACCAACCAAGGGAGGCAGTGAGTTGAGCGTGCTACCTAGCCAGGGAAACTGTGCTTTTTCCACAGAACTGTGCAACCCGTGGTCAGAAAATCCCACTCATGAACCCACGCCACCAAGGCCTAGGGTCCAAACCCCAGAGCTGCGCAGATTCTCAACAGCCTCTCAGATAGAATCTGCTTAAGCCTGCTGAGTTCCCCGTGGGAGAGGAAACCAGTACCACAGCTGCAGCTGCCTGCTGTCTAAGCCATTTGAGCTCCTTGCGTGAGGGTCAGCAGCCAGCGCTAACTGCCTAAAACGCTAAGCTCCTGGGCAGGGGAAGGACGGCAGCCATCTCTATAGCTGCAGGCCGTGCTTTTCCACTGCCAGAGCAAGGGAGACTGAACGGCTTGGTCCCAAGGTTTCCCCCACAGCCCAAAACACCAGCTGTGGCAGACTGTGGCCAGAGCCCCTCTTTAGGCCTGACCCTGACCCATCCTTCCTCACTGGGTAAGGCCTCCCTGCAGGGAGGCCTGCAGGGAGGGAGTTCCTGCAGGTACTCCAACAATTCCATCCAGAGGCTCAAGGACAGAACCCTGATCTCTATGGGCCTGAGCCCCTAGAAGGAGGGGTGGCCACACCTCTGCAGACCAGGAGACTTAGCCTTTCCTCCTGGAAGTTCTGAGGAATCCGGGCAGCCCAGATGAGTGGGTTTCCCCCCAGCAAAGCACACCTCCTCTACCAAGGGATGAGGTGCTTCACTAAATGGGTCCTGTTTCCCATGCCACCATGGTCTAAAAAGACTAAACCAGGAAGAAGTCGAATCCTTCAACAGACCAATAACAAGTTTTGAAATTGAGACAGTAATTAACAGCCTACCAACCAAAAAAAAAAAAGAGATGGATTCACAGCCAAATTCTACTAGAGGTACAAAGAGGAACTGGTACTATTCCTTTAGAAACTGTTCCAAACAATAGAGGAGGGACTCCTCCCTAACTCATTTTATGAAGCTAGCATCATCCTGATACCAAAACCTGGCAGAGACACAACAAAAAAAAGAAAACTTCACGCCAATGTTCCGTAAGAAAATCGATGTGAAAAGCCTTAATAAAATAATGGCAAACCAAATCCAGCAGCAAATCAAAAAACTTATCCACCACAATCAAGTTGGCTTCATCCCTGGGATGCAAGCCTGGTTCAACATACACAAATCAATGAACATAATCCATCATATAAACAGAACCAAAGAAAAAAACGACATGATTATCTCAATAGATGCAGAAGAGACCTTTGATAAAATTCAACATCCCTTCATGTTAAAAACTCTCAATAAACCAAGTATTGATGGAACATATCTCAAAATAATAAGAGCTATTTATGAAAAACACACAGCCAATATCATATTGAATGGGGAAAAGCTGGAAGCAATGGCTTTGAAAACTGGTACAATACAAGGATGCCCGCTCTCACCACTCATAGTCAACATAGTATTGGAAGTTCTGGCCAGGGCAATCAGGCAAGAGAAAGAAATAAAGGGTATTCAAATAGGAAAAGAGAAAGTCAAATTGTCTCTGTTTGCAGACAACATGATTCTATATTTAGAAAACCCCAACATCTTGGCCCAAAAACTCCTTAAGCTGTTAACTTCAGCAAAGTCTCAGGATACAAAATCAATGTGCAAAATTCACAAGCATTTTTTTACACCAACAACAAAAGAGCTATAAGCCAAATCATAAATGAACTCCCACTCACAACTGCAACAAAGAGAATGAAATACATAGGAATACAACTAACAAGGAATGTGAAGGACCTCTTCAAGGAGAACTACAAACCACTGCTCAAGGAAATAAGAGAGGATACAAACAAATGGAAAAACATTCCATGCTCATGGATAGGAAAAATCGATATCGTGAAAATGGTCATACTGCCCAAAATAATTTACAGATTCAATGCTATTCCCATCAAGCTACCATTGACATTCTTTACAGATTTAGAAAAAACTATTTTAAATTTCATATGGAACCAAAAAGACCCCATATAGCCAAGAAAATCTTAAGCAAAAAAACAAAGCTGGCATCATGCTACCTGACCTCAAAATATACTATAAGGGTATGGTGACCAAAACAGCATGGTACTGGTGCCAAAACAGACATATAGACCAATGGAACAGAATAGAGACCTTAGAAATAACACCACACATCTACACAACCATCTGGTCTTTGACAAACCTGACAAAAACAAGCAATGAGGAAAGGATCTTCTATTCAATAAATGGTGCTGGGAAAACTGGCTAGCCATATGCAGAAAAATAAAACTAGACCCCTTCCTTACACCTAATACAAAAATTAACTCAAGATGGACTACAGACTTACATGTAAAACCCAAAACCATAAAAACCCTAGAAGAAAACCTAGGCAATAACACTCAGGGCATAGGCAGGGCAAAGACTTCAAGATGAAAACGCCAAAAGCAATTGTAACAAAAGCCAAAATTGAGAAATTGGATCTAATTAACCTAAAGAGCTTCTGCACAGCAAAAGAAACTAGCATCAGAGTGAACAGGCAACCTACAGAATGGGAGAACGTTTTTGCAATCTACCCACCTGACAAAGGTCTAATATCCAGAATTTACAAGGAACATAAATAAATTTACAAGAAAAAAACAAACAACCCCATCGAAAAGTGGGGAAAGGATATGAACAGACACTTCTCAAAAGAAGACATTTATGTGGCCAATGAACATATTAAAAAAAAAAAAAGCCCCGCATCACTAATCATTAGAGAAATGCAAATCAAAACCACCATGAGATACTATCTCACATGAGTCTGAATGGTAATCATTAAAAAGCCAGGAGGCCGGGCGTGGTGGCTCATGCCTGTAATCCCAGCACTTTGGGAGGCCCAGGCGGGTGGATCATGAGGTCAGGAGATCAAGACCATCCTGGCTAACACGGTGAAACCCCGGCTCTACTAAAAATACAAAAAATTAGCTGGGCGCGGTGGCGGGCACATGTAGTCCCAGCTACTTGGGAGGCTGAGGCAGGAGAATGGCGTGAACTCAGGAGGCGGAGCTTGCAGTGAGCCGAGATCGCGCCACTGCACTTCAGCCTGGGTGAAAGAGCGAGACTCCATCTCACACACACACAAAAAAAGTCAGGAAACAATAGGTGCTGGTGAGGCTGTGGATAAATTGGAACATTTTACACTGTTGATGGAAATATAAATCAGCTCAATCATCGTGGAAGACAATATGGCGATTCCTCAGGGATCTAGGATCAGAAATACCAATTGACCCAGCAACCCCATTACTGAGTATATACCCAAAGGAATATAAATCATTCTTCTATGAAGACACATGCACACGTATATTTATTGCAGCACTAGTTACAATAGCAAAGACATGGAACCAACCCAAATGCCAATCAATGATAGACTGGATAAAGAAAATGTGGTACATATACATCATGAATAGTATGCAGCCATAAAAAGGAATGAGATCATGTCCTTTGCAGGGACATCGATGAAGATGGAAGCCATCATCCTTAGCAAACTAACACAGGAACAGAAAACCAAACAAAGCATGTTCTCACTCATACATGGGAGTTGAATAATGAGAACACATGGACACAGGGAGGAGAACAACACACACCAGGTCCTGTTGGGGGATGGGGAGCAAGGGAAGGGGACTTGGAGGATGGGTCAATAGGTGCAGCAAACCACCATGGCACATGTAGCTATGTAACAAACCTGCATGTTCTGCACATATATCCCAAACTTAAAGTAAAACAAACAAAGCACTAAATGTTTCAAGGGGTTTAGGTTCAGAAAAGAAGATACCTTTACAAATAAATATTTCTTTTATCGATGTAAATTTATTTCAAAGAGTCTCAAACTAGCCAGCTAAATTTCATAAAGTTGTATTAAAAAAAAGAAAATGTAGTATTTTTTTCTCTTTATAATTTCAACTTTTATTTTAGATTCAGGGGATACATTTGCAGGTTTGTTACATGAGTGTATTGCTTGATGTTCAGGTTTGGGGTACAAATGATCCAGTCTCTCAGGTAGTGAGCACAGTACCCAAAGTTAGTTTTTCAACCCTTGACTCCCCTCTCTCCCTCCCCCATCTAATAATCCCCAGTGTCTGGTTTGTTGTTGTTGATGTTGTTGTTTGATACAGGGTCTACAGAACGTGATTTTGTTCTGTTTTATGGCTGCCCAGTATTCCATGGTGTATATGTATATGTACATTTCCACATCAATCCACTGTTGATGGGCACCTAGATCGATTCCACATCTTTGCTATTGAGAACTATGCTGTGATAAACATAAGAGGGTATGTGTCTCTTTGGTGAAATTGTCAGAGGTGTTGTAACCAGAGCAACTCCATCTTAGTAGCTGGGTAAAATGAGGCTGAAACCTACTGACCTACATTTCCAGACAATTATGCATTCTAGGTCACAGAATGAGATAGGAGATCAGCACAAGATACAGGTCATAAAGACTTTGCTGATAAACAAGTTGCAGTAAAGAAGCTGGCCAAAACCAAGATGGCGACAAAAATGACCTCTTGTCATCCTCAATGCTGCAGTCCCACCAGCACCATGACAGGTTATAAATGACATAACGTCAGGAAGTTACCCTACATGGTCTAAAAAGGGGAGGCATGAATAATCCACCTCTTGTTTAGCATATAATCAAGAAAAATAAATATGGGCAACTAGCAGCCCTCAGGGCTGCACTGCCTAATGGAGTAGCCATACTTAGTAATTGCTCTCCTCTACTTTCTTAATAAACATGCTTTCGGTGTGGTGGCTCATGCCTGTAATCCCAGCACTTTGGAAGGCCAAGGAGGGTGGATCACCTGAGGTCAGGAGTTCGAGACCAGCCTGGCCAACATGGTGGAACCCGTCTCTACTAAAAATACAAAAATTAGGCCGGGCGTGGTGGCTCACGCCTGTAATCCCAACACTTTGGGAGGCCAAGGTGGCTGGATCACAAGTTCAGGAGCTCGAGACCAGTCTGGCCAACATTGTGAAACCCCATCTCTACTAAAAAAAATACAAAAATTAGCTGGGCATGGTGGTACATGCCCGTAGTCCCTGCTACTTAGGAGGCAGAGGCAGGAGAACTGCTTGAACCCGGGAGGTGGAGGTTGCAGTGAGCCGAGATCGTGCCACTGCGCTCCAGCTTGGGTGACAGAGTGAGACTTCATCTCAAAAACAAAATACAAAAATTAGCCAGTCATGGTGGCAGGTACCTGTAATCCCAGCTACTTGGGAGGCTGAGGCAGGAGAATCGCTTAAACCCTGGAGGTGGAGGTTGCAGTGAGCAGAGACTGTGACACTGCACTCCAGCACGGGTGATGGAGTGAGACTCTGTCTCATAAACAAAATAAAATAAAATAAAATAAAATAAAATAAAACATGCTTTCACTATACTCGATGGACTCACCCTGAATTCTTTCTTGTATGAGATCCAAGAAACCTCTCTTGGAATCTGGATTGGGACCCTTTTGTGGTAACATCTTTCTGGCAACCATGGAAAGGATGAGAATGAGGAAACCCTTGACCCAAAGGCTAACTTTGGGTAAGTGATAGGGTCCAGTAACATCTTCATGGTGAACCCTGAAGGGACCATACTGAGGAGACCCCCTATCCAAAGGAAAATCATCTGCATGCAACACCAATTGGCTGACTTTGGGTAAGTGGGGTGCATTTAACCAGGTAAAGGATGGGATTGGGTTAGAGGCCCAACATAGAGGAGTTAGAATCTCTCCTAAGACTGTGTGGGTTAAAGACTCCTCTCAATAAAAGAAAAGGATGCTTGACCAAACATGGGTTTGAGGCACAACTTAGGAAGGTTAGAGTCCTTCCTAAGATTTAGGGGATTAGAGGCCCCTCCAGGTAAAGTCCGTGTTGCCTAAGAACGAGTTTGGCACTATGGGATATTAACTATTCTGTTTGAAGTAATCTGCCTTGCACTCTTTGCTGACAGCTATGGGTGACAGAATTAGGCACATATAGGACCATGGGACATAGGAAGCTTTTTCCTTCCCAAAAAAAGGAAATTTGACAGCTGATGAGACTGCTGGAAAAGATCCCTCTCTGACCAACAAGCAGTTGCCTGAACTTTTGAGCAATGGGTGAGTCTTTCTCTGGCTTCCCTGAACTCTTCACCTTCCCCATCTTACATCAGGCAATGCTTCTCTCTCTCTCTCTCTGTCTCTATCTCATCTTTCTCTAGCCTCCCTGAGCTCTTCACCTTCCCCACCTTACATCAGGCAATGCTTTCCTCTCTTTCTCTCTCTCTCTGTGCAAACCAGTTGAATGAATGGTTTTAAAAAATCACTATTTATCTCCTCTGTAAAGTTTTGATTAATGGAAAAAAGGATTTGTGAGGCTAGTCTTAAGCTGTAGTGAATCTGATGTGCTTTGTGGGTCTTTCTGTTTTGTTCTGTCATAAAGAGGGGTACCGTAGGATAGAATGCGGGCCTAGGACCTCATAAGCCTGCTGTTAAAGATGGCCCAGCAAATTGGTCAGTTATAAACTTTGCTGAAGGGTCCTGAAAAGGAAAAAAAAAAAAAAAACTGGATGAGGTTTCTCTCTTGTCTTGTTTGTCCTTGGGAGCTTGACCTTATAACCATGTGGCCGTACTTTCTCTTTTCACAGTGGTGGCCTGGGTTCAGAGTTCAACCCCTACCTTAGGGGACGAGCATATCTGACTGATATTTGGGTGACCTTTGCCATCTTTTGATTCTCTTCTTTTCCGCAAACTGTCTTGAATTTCCTTTTCAGAGCATGTGTGAGGTTATTTTTGTTGCAGTTCAAAAACCAGAAATATCAACTGTTTGGCCTAGCTAAAGTGGGGTAATAAAAAATTTAAAAGGATTTTTTTTTTAGAGTGCTATGATTAAAAGTCAGTTTAACTAAAAGTTGATATCCAAGCTCTGATAGCTTGGGACTCCTTAGGAAAAACAGAGGTGGAACCACAGACCCAGTTTCCGGGAAAAATAAATGTTTTCCTCATGGAATACAAGGAATTAAAAGTGGATAGATCCTTCTCAAAATCTAAGGCTATGTTCTGTTTTGCATTACATTAGCTGATGTTTTTGACTTTTGAGGGTATCAGAAATTACTACACATAATAAGAAAAATGTGGTGTGTAATAACTAGGTAGGCAACATCCTTTGGAGAAGGGCCAATTCAATCTTTTTGGGATCAAGGATCTGATATAAAAATGGAGTCCTTAATTTCTGGAGATCTGTTTTGCCTTCCAGTTGTGTCTGCTTATTAGGCCTTAGAAACTGCATGCTTTAAAGACAACTTAAAAACCGGTGAATGAGATCGCTGGCAAAATAATTGAGTAGGAACAGCTCCAGTCTATAGCTCCCAGCGAGATCGACGCAGAAGGCAGGTGATTTCTGCATTTCCAACTGAGGTACCCAGTTCATCTTACTGGGGCTGGTTGGACAGTGGGTGCAGCCCATGGAGGGTGAGCCAAAGCAGGGTGGGGTATTGCCTCACCCAGGAAGTGCAAGGAGTCAAGGAATTCCCTGCCCTAGCCAAGGGAAGCCATGAGGGACTGTGAACAGTGCACTCTGGCCTAGATACTGTGCTTTCCCCATGGTCTTTGCAACCTGCAAACCAGGAGATTCCCTCCAGTGCCTATGCCACCAGGGCCCTGGGTTTTAAGCACAAAACTGAGCAGTTGTTTGGGCAGACACCAAGCTAGCTGCGGGAGTTTTTTTTCATACCCCAGTGGCGCTTGGAATGCCAGTGAGACAAAACCGTTCACTCCCCTGGAAAGGGGGCTGAAGCCAGGGAGCTAAGTGGTTGGCTTGGAAGGTCCCACCCCCACGGAGCCCAAGAAGCTCAGATCCACTGGCTTGAAATTCTCACTGCCAGCACAGCAGTCAGAAGGCAAGCCGGGACACTCAAACTTGGTGGGGGGAAGAGCGTCCACAATTCTGAGACTTGAGTAGGCAGTTTTACCCTCACAGTGTAAACAAAGCCACCGGGAAGTTCGAACTGGGTGGAGCAACACTGCTGTGGAAAGACTGCCTCTTTAGATTCCCCCTCTCTGGGCAAGGCATCTCTGAAAAAAAGGCAGCAGTCCCAGTCAGGGGCTTAGAGATAAAACCCCAATCTCCCTGAGACAGAGCACCTGGGGGAAGGGGCGGCTGTGGGCACAACTTCAGTAAACTTAAACACTCCTGCCTGATGGCTCTTAAGAGAGCAGTGGATCTCCCAGCACAGCGTTTGAGCTCTGCTAAGAGTCAGACTGCCTCCTCCAAGCGGGTCCCTGACCCCCACATTGCCTGACTGGGAGACACCTCCCAGTGGGGGCCAACAGACACCTCATACAAAAGAGCTCCGGCTGGCAGCTGGTGGGTGTCCCTCTGGGAAGAAGCTTGCAGAGGAAGGAACAGGCAGCAATCTTTGTTGTTCTGCAGCCTCCGCTAGTGATACCCAGGCAAACAGAGTCTGGAGTGGACCTCCAGCAAACTGCAGCAAACCTGCAGCAGAGGGGCCAGACTGTTAGAAGGAAAACTAACAAACAGAAAGGAATAACATCAACATCAACAGAAGGATGTCCACTCAGAGACCCCATCCAAAGGTCACCAACATCAAAGACCAAAGGTAGATAAATCCATGAAGATGGGGAGAAACCAGTGCAAAAAGACTGAAAATTCCCAAAACCAGAATGTCTCTTCTCCTTCATAGGATCACAACTCCTCGCCAGCAAGGGAACAAAACTGGATGGAGAATGAGTTTGATGAATTGACAGAAGTAGGCTTCAGAAGGTGGGTAATAACAAACTCCTCTGAGCTAAAGGAGCATGTTCTAACCCAATGCAAGGAAGCTAAGAACCTTGAAAAAAGATTAAATAAATTGCTAACTAGAATAACCAGTTTGGAGAAGAGAATAAATGACTTGATAGAGCTGAAAAACACAGCATGAGAACTTCGTGAAGTATACACAAGTGTCAATAGCCAAATCAATCAAGTGGAAGAAAGGATATCAGCGACTGAAGATCAAATTAATGAAATAAAATGTGAAAACAAGATTAGAGAAAAAAGAATGAAAAGGAAAGAACAAAGCCTCCAAGAAATATGGGACTATGTGAAAAGACCAAATCTACATTTGCTTGGTGTACCTGAAAAGTGATGGGGAGAATGGAAGCAAGTTGGAAAACACTCTTCAGGATATTATCCAGGAGAACTTCCCCAACCTAGCAAGACAGGCCAAAATTCAAATTCGGGAAATACAGAGAACACCACAAAGACACTCCTAGAGAAGGGTAACCCCAAGACACATAATCATCAGATTCACCAAAGTTGAAATAAAGGAAAAAAGGTTAAGAGCAGCCAGAGAGAAAGGTCAGGTTACCCACAAGGGAAGCCCATCAGACTAACAGCGGATCTCTCTGCAGAAACCCTATGAGCCAGAAAACAGTGGGGGCCAATATTTAACATTCTTAAAGAAAATAATTTTCTACCCAGAATTTCACATCCAGCCAAACTAAACTTCATAAGCAAAGGAGAAATAAAATCCTTTACAGACAAGCAAATGCTAAGAGACCACCAGGCCTGCCGTACAAGAGCTCCTGAAGGAAGCACTAAACATGCAAAGGAACAACCAGTACCAGCCACTGCAAAAACGTACCAAATTGTAAAGGCCATTGACACTGTGAAGAAACTGCATTAACTAACGGGCAAAATAACCAGCTAGCATCATAATCACAGGATCAAATTTACACATAACAATATTAACCTTAAATGTAAATGGGCTAAATGCCGCAATTAGAAGACACAGACTGGCAAACTGGATGAAAAGTCAAGACCCATCAATGTAGTGTATTCAGGAAACCCATCTCACGTGCAAAGACGCACATAGACTCAAAATAAAGGAATGGAGAAATATTTACCAAGCAAATGGGAAGCAAAAAAAAAAAAAAAAAAAAAAAAACAGGGTTGCAATCCTAGTCTCTGATAAAACAGGCTTTAAACCAACAAAGATCAAAAGAGACAAAGAAGGGCATTACATAATGGTAAAGGGATCAATGCAACAAGAAGAGCTAACTATCCTAAATATATATGCACCCAGTACAGGAGCAACCAGATTCATAAAGCAAGTTCTTAGAGACCTACAAAGAGACTTAGACTCCCACACAATAATAGTGGGAGACTTTAACACCCCACTGTCAATATTAGATCCAAGAGACAGAAAATTGACAAGGATATTCAGGACTCAAACTTAGCTCTGGACCAAGCAGAACTAATAGACATCTACAGAACTCCCCGCCCCAAATAAACAGAATATACACTCTTCTCACCACAACATCAGACTTATTCTAAAATTGACCACATAATTCTAAGTAAAACACTCCTCAGCAAATGCAAAAGAATGGAAATCATGATGAACTGTCTCTCAGACCACAGTGCAATCAAATTAGAACTCAGGATTAAGAAACTCACTCAAAACCACATAACTACATGGAAACTAAACAACCTGCTCCTGAGTGACTACTGGGTATATAACAAAATTAAGGCAGAATTAAAGATGTCCTTTGAAACCAATGACAACAAAGACACAATGAAACAAAGATGATCTTTGAAACCAATGAGAACAAAAACAACATACCAGAATCTCTGGGACACATTTAAAGCAGTGTTTAGATGGAAACTTATAGCAATAAATGCCCACAAGAGAAAGCAGGAAAGATCTAAAATTGACAACCTAACATCACAATTAAAAGAACTAGAGAAGCAAGAGCAAACAAACTCAAAAGCTAGTAGAAGACAAGAAATTACTAAGATCAGGGCAGAACTGAAGGAGATAGAGACACGAAAACGCCTTCAAAAAAATCAATGAATCCAGGAGCTGGTATTGAAAAGATCAACAAAATAGACCACTAGCCAGACTAATAAAGAAGAAAAGAGAGAAGAATCAAATGGATGCAATAAAAAATGATAAAGGGGATATTACCACCAATTCCACAGAAATACAAACTACCATCAGAGAATACTATAAACACCTCTACGCAAATAAACTAGAAAATCTAGAAAAAAATGGATAAATTCCTGGACACATACACCCTCCCAAGTCTAAATCAGGAAGAAGTCGAATCCCTGAATAGACCAATAACAAGTTCTGAAATTAAGGCAGTAATTAATAGCCTACCAACCAAAAAAAGTCCAGGACCAGACAGATTCACAGCCGAATTCTACCAGAAGTACGAAGAGGATCTGGTACCATTCCTTCTGAAACTATTCCAATCAATAGAAAAAGAGGGAATCCTTCCTAACTCATTTTATGAGGCCAGCCATCATCCTGATACCAAAACCTGGTAGAGACACAACAAAAAAAGAAAATTTCAGGCCAATATCCCTGATGAACATCGACACGAAAATCTCAATAAAATACTGGCAAACCGAATCCAGCAGCACATCAAAAAGCTTATCCACCACTATCAAGTGGGATTCATCCCTGGGATGCAAGGCTGGTTCAATATATGCAAATCAATAAACATAATCCATCACATAAACAGAACCAATGACAAAAACCAGACATGATTATCTCAATAGATGCAGAAAAGGCCTTCAACAAAATTCAACAGCCCTTCATACTAAAAACTCTCAATGAACTAGGTATTAATTTGAGAACATATCTCAAAATAATAAGAGTTATTTATGGCAAACCCATAGCCAATATTGTACTGAATAGGCAAGAACTAAAAGCATTCCCTTTGAAAACCGGCACAAGACAAGGATACCCTCTCTCACCACTCCTGTTCAACATAGTATTGAAAGTTCTGACCAGGGCAAACAGGCAAGAGAAAGAAATAAAGGGTATTCAAATAGGAAAAGAGGAAGTCAAAGTGGCTGTTTGCAGATGACATGATTCTATATTTAGAAAACCCCATCAACTCAGCCCAAAATCTCCTGAAGCTGATAAGCAACTTGAGAAAAGTCTCAGGATAAAAAATCAATGTGCAAAAATCACAGGCATTCCTATACACCAATAACAGACAAACAGGGAGACAAATAATGAATGAACACCCATTCACAATTGCTACAAAGAGAATAAAATACCTAGGAATACAATTTACAAGGATGTGAAGGACCTCTTCAAGGAGAACTACACATCACTGCTCAAGGAAATAAGACAGGACACAAACAAGTGGAAACACATTCCATGCTCATGATAAGAAGAACTGATATTGTGAAAATGGTCATAATACCCAAAATAATTTATAGATTCAATGCTATTCCCATCAAACTACCATTGACATTTTTCGCAGATTTAGAAAAAAAACTACTTTAAATTTGATATGGAACCAAAAAAGGGCCTGCATAACCGAAACAACCCTAAGCAAAAAAAAAACAAAAAACAGAAAACAAAACAAAACAAAAAACAAAGCTGGAGGCATCACACTACCTGACTTCAAGCTATACAAGGCTCCAGTAACCAAAATAGCATGGCACTGGTACCAAAACAGATATATAGACCAATGGATCAGAAGAGAGACCTCAGAAATAACACCACACATCTACAACCATCTGATCTTCGACAAACCTGATAAAAACAAGCAATGGGGAATGGATTCCCTATTTAATAAATGGGGCTGAGAAAACTGGCCAACTATATGCAGAAAACTGAGACTGGACCCCTTCCTTACACCTTATACAAAAATTAACTCAAGATGGATTAAAGACTTAAATGTAAAACACAAAACCATAAAAATTCTAGAAGAAAACCTAGGCAATAATATTCAGGACATAGGCATGGGCAAAGACTTCATGACTAAAACAGCAAAAGCAATGGCAACAAAAGCGAAAATTGACAAATGACATCTAATCAAACTAAAGAACTTCTGGCTGGGCATGGTGGCTCACGCCTGTAATCCCAGCACTTTGGGAGGCCGGGTGGGTGGATCATGAGGTCAGGAGATCAGGACCATCCTGGCTAACATGGTGAAACCCCATCTCCACTGAAAATACATTAAAAAAAATCAGCCGGGCATGGTGGTGGGCACCTGTAGTCCCAGCTACTCACGAGGCTGAGGCAGGAGAATGGCGTGAACCCAGGAGGCAGAGCTTGCAGTGAGCCGAGATCATGCCACTGCACTCCAGCCTGTGTGACAGAGCGAGACTCCATCTCAAAAAAAAACAAAAACAAAAAACAAACAAAAAAAACTTCTGCACAGCAAAAGAAACTATCATCAGAGTGAACAGGCAACCTACAAAATGAGAGAAAATTTTTGTAATTTATCCATCTAACAAAGGGCTAATACCCAGAATCTACAAAGAACTTAAACACATTTATAAGAAAAAAACAACCCCATCAAAAAGTGGGTGAAGGATATGAACAGACACTTCTCAAAAGAAGACATTTACGCAGCCAACAAACATACGACAAAAAGCTCATCATCACTGGTCATCAGAGAAATGCACATCAAAACCACAATGAGATACCATCTCACACCAGTTAGAAAGGGGATCATTAAAAATTCAGGAAATAACAGATGCTGGAGAGGATGTGGAGAAATAGGAACACTTTTACACTGTTGGTGGGAGTGTAAATTAGTTCAACCTTTGTGGAAGACAGCGTGGTGATTTCTCAAGGATCTAGAACTAGAAATACCATTTGACCCAGGAATCCCATTACTGGATACATACCCAAAGGATTAGAAATCATGCTACTATAAAGACACATGCACATGTATGTTTATTGCAGCACTATTCACAATAGCAAAGACTTGGAACCAACCCAAATGCCCATCAATGATAGACTGGATAAAGAAAATGTGGCACCTATACACCATGGAATACTATGCAGCCATAAAAAGGGATGACTTCATGTCCTTTGCAGGGAACATGAATGAAGCTGGAAACAATCATTCTCAGCAAACTAACACAAGAACAGAAAACCAAACACCACATGTTCTCATTCATAAGTGGGAGCTGAACAATGAGAACACATGGACACAAGGAGGGGAATGTCACACACCTGGGCCTGTTCAGGGGGTGGGGAGCTAAGGGAGGGATAGCATTAGGAGAAATACCTAATGTAGATAATGGGTTGATGGGTGCAACAAACCACCATGGCACATATATACCTATGTAACAAACCTGCACATTCTGCACATGCACCACAGAACTTAGATTAAAAAAAAAAAAACTGGTGAATGAAAAACCTTGTAACTGTAGGATCTTCTGCGTATTTATATATGTTTTGTGTGGGATATATAAAAGCTTTAATTGGTTCGAAATTAGTAAGTGCTCAAATCAAATATTTGGCAGAAAAGTAAAAACTGTAATGCCTTTTAGTTTATGTGACTTAAGTAATTTTTGGGAAACAAAGACAGTTTTACATGCAAGGTGTGCAAGGAAAGAGAAATGTGTTTTTTGGTAAAAGATTATAAGAAGGCATGGGAATGTCTTCCATGCCTTTTTTTTTTTTTTTTTTTTTGGCCTAGATTAAAAGGTTAAAGGATTGTTTTAAGTTAGATAAAGTATAGCTGAAGGTTTAAGCAAGTTGTGGAAGGTTTGTAAAAAAAAAAAAAA